>NC_000020.11:28256367-28317742 GCF_000001405.40 Homo sapiens
TTGCAGTGAGCTGAGATCAGGCCACTGCACTCCAGCCTGGGCAGCAGAGTGATACTCTGTCTCAAAAATACAAAAAATGGTAATGAATTATGGTTACTGTTTCTTGATAAACTCATATTTTTTTTGAACACTGTGCTAGGCACTTTGCTAGTGGCTCATTAATTCTTTGCAATCATGTGTGAAATGTCTCAACTAACAGAGTTGAACCTTTCTTTTGATAGAGCAGTTTTGAAACACTCTTTTTGTAAAATCTGCAAGAGGATATTTGGATAGCTTTGAGGATTTCGTTGCAAACGGGAATGGCTTCATATAAACTCTAGACAGAAGAGCATTCTCAGAAACTTCGTTGGGATGTTTCGATTGAAGTCCCAGTGTTGAACATTCCCTTTTATAGAGCAGGTTGGAAACACTCTTTCTGCATTCCCTGGAAGTGGACATTTGGAGCGCTTTCAGGACGACGGTGAAAATGGAAATATCTTCCAAGAAAATCTAGATAGAAGCAACGTCAGAAACTTTTCTGTGATGGATCTACTCAGCTAACAGAGTTGAACCTTTCTTTTGAGAGAGCAGTTTTGCAACACTCTTTTTGTGGAATATGCAAGTGGATATTAGGGCAGCTTTGAGGATTTCGTTGGAAACGGGAATACATGTAAAAAGCAGACAGCAGCATTCTCAGAAACTTCTTTGTGATGTTTGCATTGAAGTCACAGAGTTGAACATTCCCTTTGAGAGAGCAGGTTTGAAACACGCCTTTTGTCATATCTGGAAGTGTCCATTCGGAGCGCATTCAGGCTTGTGTTGAAAAAGGAAATATCCTCCCATAAAAACTAGACAGAAGCATTCTCAGAAACTTATCTGTGATGTATGTACTCAACTAACAGAACTAAACCATCGTTTTGAAGGAGCAGTTTTGAAACACTCTTTTTGCGGAATCTGCAAGTGGATATTTGGCTAGCTGGGAGGATTTCGTTGGAAACGGGATTACATACAAAAAGCAGACAGCAGCATTCTCAGAAACTTATTTGTGATGTGTGCCCTCAACTGACAGTGTTGAACCTTTGTTTTGATAGAGCAGTTCTGAAACACACTTTTTGTAAAATCTGCAAGAGGATATTTGGATAGCTTTGAGGATTTCGTTGGAAACGGGAATGTCTTCATGTAAACTCTAGACAGAAGGATTCTCAGAAAATGCTTTGGGATGTTTCAATTGAAGTCCCAGTGTTGAACATTCCCTTTCATAGAGCAGGTTTGAAACACTCTTTTTGTAGTATCTGGAAGTGGACATTTGGAGCGCTTTCAGGTCTACGGTGAAAAAGGAGATATCTTCCAATAAAAACTAGATAGAAAGCAATGTCAGAACTTTTTTCATGATGTATCTACTCAGCAAACAGAGTTGAACCTTTCTTTTGAGGGAGCAGTTTTGAAACACTATTTTTGTGGAATATGCAAGTGGGTATTAGGCCAGCTTGGAGGATTTCGTTGGAAACGGTAATACGTATAAAAAGCAGACAGCAGCATTGTCAGAAACTACTTTGTGATGTTTGCATTCAAGTCACAGAATTGAACACTCCCTTTCACAGAGCAGGTTTGAAACACTCTTTTTGTAGTGTCTGTAAGTGAACATTTGGATTGCTTTCAGGCCTAAGGTGAAAAAGGAAATATCTTCCCATAAAAACTAGACAGAAGCATTCTCAGAAACTTGTTTGTGATGTGTGCCCTCTACTGACAGAGTTGAACCTTTCTTTGCAAAGAGCAGTTTTGAAACACTCTTTTTGTAGAATCTGCAAGAGGATATTTGGATAGCTTTGAGGATTTCTTGGGAAACGGGAATGTCTTCAGATAAACTCTAGACAGAAGCATTCTCAGAAACTTCTTTGGGATGTTTCAATTGAAGTCACAGTGTTGAACATTCCCTTTCACAGAGCAGGTTTGAAACACTCTTTTTGTAGTGTCTATAAGTGAACATTTGGCGTGCTTTCAGGCGTAACGTGAAAAAGGAAATATCTTCCCATAAAAACTAGACAGAAGCATTCTCAGAAACTTGTTCGTGATGTGTGCCCTCTACTGACAGAGTTGAACCTTTCTTTGCAAAGAGCAGCTTTGAAACACACTTTTTGTAGAATCTGCAAGAGGATATTTGGAAAGCTTTGAGGATTTCGTTGGAAACGGGTATGTCTTCAGATAAACTCTAGACAGAAGCATTCTCAGAAACTTCTTTGGGATGTTGCATGCAAGTCACAGAGTAGAACATTCCCATTCATAGAGCAGATTTGAAACACTCTTTTTGTAGTATCTGGAAGTGGACATTTGGAGCGCTTTCAGGCCTATGTTGAAAAAGGAAATATCTTCCCATAAAAACTAGACGGAAGCATTCTCAGAAACTTATTTGTGATGTGTTTGCTCAACTAACAGGATTGAACCATCGTTTTGAAGGAGCAGTTTTGAAACACTGTTTTCGTGGAATCTGCAAGTGGATATTTGGCTAGCTTTGAGGATTTCGTTGGAAACGGGATTACATATAAAAAGGAGACAGCAGCATTCTCAGAAACTTCTTTGTGATGTCTGCATTCAAGTCACAGAGTTGAGCATTCCCTTTCATAGAGCAGGTTTGAAACACTGTTTTTGTAGTATCTGGATGAGGACATTTGGAGCGCTTTCAGGTGTATGGTGAAAAAGGAAATATCTTCCCGTAAAAACTAGACAGAAGCATTCTCAGAAATTTATTTGTGATGTGTGCCCTCAACTAACAGAGTTGAACCTTTCTTTTGATAGAGCAGTTTTGAAACACTCTTTTTGTAAAATCTGCAAGAGGATATTTGGATAGCTTTGAGGATTTCGTTGCAAACGGGAATGGCTTCATATAAACTCTAGACAGAAGCATTCTCAGAAACTTCGTTGGGATGTTTCGATTGAAGTCCCAGTGTTGAACATTCCCTTTTATAGAGCAGATTGGAAACACTCTTTTTGCATTCCCTGGAAGTGGACATTTGGAGCGCTTTCAGGACGACGGTGAAAATGGAAATATCTTCCAAGAAAATCTAGATAGAAGCAATGTCAGAAACTTTTATGTGATGGATCTACTCAGCTAACAGAGTTGAAGCTTTCTTTTGAGAGAGCAGTTTTGCAACACTCTTTTTGTGGAATATGCAAGTGGATATTAGGGCAGCTTTGAGGATTTCGTTGGAAACGGGAATACATGTAAAAAGCAGACAGCAGCATTCTCAGAATCTTCTTTGTGATGTTTGCATTGAAGTCACAGAGTTGAACATTCCCTTTGAGAGAGCAGGGTTGAAACACGCCTTTTGTCATATCTGGAAGTGTCCATTCGGAGCGCATACAGGCTTGCGATGAAAAAGGAAATATCCTCCCATAAAAACTAGACAGAAGCATTCTCAGAAACTTATCTGTGATGTATGTACTCAACTAACAGAACTAAACCATCGTTTTGAAGGAGCAGTTTTGAAACACTCTTTTTGCGGAATCTGCAAGTGGATATTTGGCTAGCTGGGAGGATTTCGTTGGAAACGGGATTACATACAAAAAGCAGACAGCAAGCATTCTCAGAAACTTATTTGCGATGTGTGCCCTCAACTGACAGTGTTGAACCTTTGTTTTGATAGAGCAGTTCTGAAACACACTTTTTGTAAAATCTGCAAGAGGATATTTGGATAGCTTTGAGGATTTCGTTGGAAACGGGAATGTCTTCATGTAAACTCTGGACAGAGCATTCTCAGAAACTGCTTTGGGATGTTTCAATTGAAGTCCCAGTGTTGAACATTCCCATTCATAGAGCAGGTTTGAAACACTCTTTTTGTACTATCTGGAAGTGGACATTTGGAGCGCTTTCAGGTCTACGGTGAAAAAGGAGATATCTTCCAATAAAAACTAGATAGAAGCAATGTCAGAACTTTTTTCATGATGTATCTACTCAGCAAACAGAGTTGAACCTTTCTTTTGAGAGAGCAGTTTTGAAACACTCTTTTTGTGGAATATGAAAGTGGGTATTAGGCCAGCTTGGAGGATTTCGTTGGAAACGGGAATACGTATAAAAAGCAGACAGCAGCATTGTCAGAAACTACTTTGTGATGTTTGCATTCAAGTCACAGAATTGAACACTCCCTTTCACAGAGCAGGTTTGAAACACTCTTTTTGTAGTGTCTGTAAGTGAACATTTGGATTGCTTTCAGGCCTAAGGTGAAAAAGGAAATATCTTCCCATAAAAACTAGACAGAAGCATTCTCAGAAACTTGTTTGTGATGTGTGCCCTCTACTGACAGAGTTGAACCTTTCTTTGCAAAGAGCAGTTTTGAAACACTCTTTTTGTAGAATCTGCAAGAGGATATTTGGATAGCTTTGAAGATTTCTTGGGAAACGGGAATGTCTTCAGATAAACTCTAGACAGAAGCATTCTCAGAAACTTCTTTGGGATGTTTCAATTGAAGTCACAGTGTTGAACATTCCCTTTCACAGAGCAGGTTTGAAACACTCTTTTTGTAGTGTCTATAAGTGAACATTTGGCGTGCTTTCAGGCCTAACGTGAAAAAGGAAATATCTTCCCATAAAAACTAGACAGAAGCATTCTCAGAAACTTGTTCGTGATGTGTGCCCTCTACTGACAGAGTTGAACCTTTCTTTGCAAAGAGCAGCTTTGAAACACTCTTTTTGTAGAATCTGCAAGAGGATATTTGGATAGCTTGGAGGATTTCGTTGGAAACGGGTATGTCTTCAGATAAACTCTAGACAGAAGCATTCTCAGAAACTTCTTTGGGATGTTGCATTCAAGTCACAGAGTAGAACATTCCCATTCATAGAGCAGATTTGAAACACTCTTTTTGTAGTATCTGGAAGTGGACATTTGGAGCGCTTTCAGGCCTATGTTGAAAAAGGAAATATCTTGCCATAAAAACTAGACGGAAGCATTTTCAGAAACTTACTTGTGATGTGTTTGCTCAACTAACAGAATTGAACCATCGTTTTGAAGGAGCACTTTTGAAACACTGTTTTCGTGGAATCTGCAAGTGGATATTTGGCTAGCTTTGAGGATTTCGTTGGAAACGGGATTACCTATAAAAAGGAGACAGCAGCATTCTCAGAAACTTCTTTGTGATGTTTGCATTCAAGTCACAGAGTTGAACATTCCCTTTCATAGAGCAGGTTTGAAACACTCTTTTTGTAGTATCTGGATGTGGACATTTGGATCGCTTTCAGGCCTATGGTGAAAAAGGAAATATCTTCCCATGAAAACTAGACAGAAGCATTCTCAGAAACTTATTTGTGATGTGTGCCCTCAACTGACAGTGTTGAACCTTTGTTTTGATAGAGCAGTTCTGAAACACACTTTTTGTAAAATCTGCAAGAGGATATTTGGATAGCTTTGAGGAGTTCGTTGGAAACGGGAATGTCTTCATGTAAACTCTAGACAGAAGCATTCTCAGAAACTGCTTTGGGAGGTTTCAATTGAAGTCCCAGTGTTGAACATTCCCTTTCATAGAGCAGGTTTGAAACACTCTTTTTGTACTATCTGGAAGTGGACATTTGGAGCGCTTTCAGGTCTACGGTGAAAAAGGAGATATCTTCCAATAAAAACTAGATAGAAGCAATATCAGAACTTTTTTCATGATGTATCTACTCAGCAAACAGAGTTGAACCTTTCTTTTGAGAGAGCAGTTTTGAAACACTCTTTTTGTGGAATATGCAAGTGGGTATTAGGCCAGCTTGGAGGATTTCGTTGGAAACGGGAATACGTATAAAAAGCAGACAGCAGCATTGTCAGAAACTACTTTGTGATGTTTGCATTCAAGTCACAGAATTGAACACTCCCTTTCACAGAGCAGGTTTGAAACACTCTTTTTGTAGTGTCTGTAAGTGAACATTTGGATTGCTTTCAGGCCTAAGGTGAAAAAGGAAATATCTTCCCATAAAAACTAGACAGAAGCATTCTCAGAAACTTGTTTGTGATGTGTGCCCTCTACTGACAGAGTTGAACCTTTCTTTGCAAAGAGCAGTTTTGAAACACTCTTTTTGTAGAATCTGCAAGAGGATATTTGGATAGCTTTGAGGATTTCTTGGGAAACGGGAATGTCTTCAGATAAACTCTAGACAGAAGCATTCTCAGAAACTTCTTTGGGATGTTTCAATTGAAGTCACAGTGTTGAACATTCCCTTTCACAGAGCAGGTTTGAAACACTCTTTTTGTAGTGTCTATAAGTGAACATTTGGCGTGCTTTCAGGCCTAACGTGAAAAAGGAAATATCTTCCCATAAAAACTAGACAGAAGCATTCTCAGAAACTTGTTCATGATGTGTACCCTCTACTGACAGAGTTGAACCTTTCTTTGAAAAGAGCAGCTTTGAAACACTCTTTTTGTAGAATCTGCAAGAGGATATTTGGATAGCTTTGAGGATTTCGTTGGAAACGGGTATGTCTTCAGATAAACTCTAGACAGAAGCATTCTCAGAAACTTCTTTGGGATGTTGCATGCAAGTCACAGAGTAGAACATTCCCATTCATAGAGCAGATTTGAAACACTCTTTTTGTAGTATCTGGAAGTGGACATTTGGAGCGCTTTCAGGCCTATGTTGAAAAAGGAAATATCTTCCCATAAAAACTAGACGGAAGCATTCTCAGAAACTTACTTGTGATGTGTTTGCTCAACTAACAGAATTGAACCATCGTTTTGAAGGAGCAGTTTTGAAACACTGTTTTCGTGGAATCTGCAAGTGGATATTTGGCTAGCTTTGAGGATTTCGTTGGAAACGGGATTACATATAAAAAGGAGACAGCAGCATTCTCAGAAACTTCTTTGTGATGTTTGCATTCAAGTCACAGAGTTGAACATTCCCTTTCATAGAGCAGGTTTGAAACACTCTTTTTGTAGTATCTGGATGTGGACATTTGGATCGCTTTCAGGCCTATGGTGAAAAAGGAAATATCTTCCCATGAAAACTAGACAGAAGCATTCTCAGAAACTTATTGGTGATGTGTGCCCTCAACTGACAGTGTTGAACCTTTGTTTTGATAGAGCACTTCTGAAACACACTTTTTGTAAAATCTGCAAGAGGATATTTGGATAGCTTTGAGGATTTCGTTGGAAACGGGAATGTCTTCATGTAAACTCTACACAGAAGCATTCTCAGAAACTGCTTTGGGATGTTTCAATTGAAGTCCCAGTGTTGAACATTCCCATTCATAGAGCAGGTTTGAAACACTCTTTTTGTACTATCTGGAAGTGGACATTTGGAGCGCTTTCAGGTCTACGGTGAAAAAGGAGATATCTTCCAATAAAAACTAGATAGAAGCAATGTCAGAACTTTTTTCATGATGTATCTACTCAGCAAACAGAGTTGAACCTTTCTTTTGAGAGAGCAGTTTTGAAACACTCTTTTTGTGGAATATGCAAGTGGGTATTAGGCCAGCTTGGAGGATTTCGTTGGAAACGGGAATACGTATAAAAAGCAGACAGCAGCATTGTCAGAAACTACTTTGTGATGTTTGCATTCAAGTCACAGAATTGAACACTCCCTTTCACAGAGCAGGTTTGAAACACTCTTTTTGTAGTGTCTGTAAGTGAACATTTGGATTGATTTCAGGCCTAAGGTGAAAAAGGAAATATCTTCCCATAAAAACTAGACAGAAGCATTCTCAGAAACTTGTTTGTGATGTGTGCCCTCTACTGACAGAGTTGAACCTTTCTTTGCAAAGAGCAGTTTTGAAACACTCTTTTTGTAGAATCTGCAAGAGGATATTTGGATAGCTTTGAGGATTTCTTGGGAAACGGGAATGTCTTCAGATAAACTCTAGACAGAAGCATTCTCAGAAACTTCTTTGGGATGTTTCAATTGAAGTCACAGTGTTGAACATTCCCTTTCACAGAGCAGGTTTGAAACACTCTTTTTGTAGTGTCTATAAGTGAACATTTGGCGTGCTTTCAGGCGTAACGTGAAAAAGGAAATATCTTCCCATAAAAACTAGACAGAAGCATTCTCAGAAACTTGTTCGTGATGTGTGCCCTCTACTGACAGAGTTGAACCTTTCTTTGCAAAGAGCAGTTTTGAAACACTCTTTTTGTAGAATCTGCAAGAGGATATATGGATAGCTTTGAGGATTTCGTTGGAAACGGGAATGTCTTCAGATAAACTCTAGACAGAAGCATTCTCAGAAACTTCTTTGGGATGTTTCAATTGAAGTCACAGTGTTGAACATTCCCTTTCACAGAGCAGGTTTGAAACACTCTTTTTGTAGTGTCTATAAGTGAACATTTGGCGTGCTTTCAGGCCTAACGTGAAAAAGGAAATATCTTCCCATAAAAACTAGACAGAAGCATTCTCAGAAACTTGTTCTTGATGTGTCCCCTCTACTGACAGAGTTGAACCTTTCTTTGCAAAGAGCAGCTTTGAAACACTCTTTTTGTAGAATCTGCAAGAGGATATTTGGATAGCTTGGAGGATTTCGTTGGAAACGGGTATGTCTTCAGATAAACTCTAGACAGAAACATTCTCAGAAACTTCTTTGGGATGTTGCATTCAAGTCACAGAGTAGAACATTCCCATGCATAGAGCAGATTTGAAACACTCTTTTTGTAGTATCTGGAAGTGGACATTTGGAGCGCTTTCAGGCCTATGTTGAAAAAGGAAATATCTTCCCATAAAAACTAGACGGGAAGCATTCTCAGAAACTTATTTGTGATGTGTTTGCTCAACTAACAGGATTGAACCATCGTTTTGAAGGAGCAGTTTTGAAACACTGTTTTCGTGGAATCTGCAAGTGGATATTTGGCTAGCTTTGAGGATTTCGTTGGAAACGGGATTACATATAAAAAGGAGACAGCAGCATTCTCAGAAACTTCTTTGTGATGTCTGCATTCAATTCACAGAGTTGAGCATTCCCTTTCATAGAGCAGGTTGGAAACTCTCTTTTTGTAGTATCTGGATGAGGACATTTGGAGCGCTTTCAGGCGTATGGTGAAAAAGGAAATATCTTCCCGTAAAAACTAGACAGAAGCATTCTCAGAAATTTATTTGTGATGTGTGCCCTCAACTAACAGAGTTGAACCTTTCTTTTGATAGAGCAGTTTTGAAACACTCTTTTTGTAAAATCTGCAAGAGGATATTTGGATAGCTTTGAGGATTTCGTTGCAAACGGGAATGGCTTCATATAAACTCTAGACAGAAGCATTCTCAGAAACTTCTTTGGGATGTTTCGATTGAAGTCCCAGTGTTGAACTTTCCCTTTTATAGAGCAGGTTGGAAACACTCTTTCTGCATTCCCTGGAAGTGGACATTTGGAGCGCTTTCAGGACGACAGTGAAAATGGAAATATCTTCCAATAAAATCTAGATAGAAGCAACGTCAGAAACTTTTATGTGATGGATCTACTCAGCTAACAGAGTTGAACCTTTCTTTTGAGAGAGCAGTTTTGCAACACTCTTTTTGTGGAATATGCAAGTGGATATTAGGGCAGCTTTGAGGATTTCGTTGGAAACGGGAATACATGTAAAAAGCAGACAGCAGCATTCTCAGAAACTTCTTTGTGATGTTTGCATTGAAGTCACAGAGTTGAACATTCCCTTTGAGAGAGCAGGTTTGAAACACGCCTTTTGTCATATCTGGAAGTGTCCATTCGGAGCGCATTCAGGCTTGTGTTGAAAAAGGAAATATCCTCCCATAAAAACTAGACAGAAGCATTCTCAGAAACTTATCTGTGATGTATGTACTCAACTAACAGAACTAAACCATCGTTTTGAAGGAGCAGTTTTGAAACACTCTTTTTGCGGAATCTGCAAGTGGATATTTGGCTAGCTGGGAGGATTTCGTTGGAAACGGGATTACATACAAAAAGCAGACAGCAGCATTCTCAGAAACTTATTTGTGATGTGTGCCCTCAACTGACAGTGTTGAACCTTTGTTTTGATAGAGCAGTTCTGAAACACACTTTTTGTAAAATCTGCAAGAGGATATTTGGATAGCTTTGAGGATTTCGTTGGAAACGGGAATGTCTTCATGTAAACTCTACACAGAAGCATTCTCAGAAACTGCTTTGGGATGTTTCAATTGAAGTCCCAGTGTTGAACATTCCCTTTCATAGAGCAGGTTTGAAACACTCTTTTTGTACTATCTGGAAGTGGACATTTGGAGCGCTTTCAGGTCTACGGTGAAAAAGGAGATATCTTCCAATAAAAACTAGATAGAAGCAATGTCAGAACTTTTTTCATGATGTATCTACTCAGCAAACAGAGTTGAACCTTTCTTTTGAGAGAGCAGTTTTGAAACACTCTTTTTGTGGAATATGCAAGTGGGTATTAGGCCAGCTTGGAGGATTTCGTTGGAAACGGGAATACGTATAAAAAGCAGACAGCAGCATTGTCAGAAACTACTTTGTGATGTTTGCATTCAAGTCACAGAACTGAACACTCCCTTTCACAGAGCAGGTTTGAAACACTCTTTTTGTAGTGTCTGTAAGTGAACATTTGGATTGCTTTCAGGCCTAAGGTGAAAAAGGAAATATCTTCCCATAAAAACTAGACAGAAGCATTCTCAGAAACTTGTTTGTGATGTGTGCCCTCTACTGACAGAGTTGAACCTTTCTTTGCAAAGAGCAGTTTTGAAACACTCTTTTTGTAGAATCTGCAAGAGGATATTTGGATAGCTTTGAGGATTTCTTGGGAAACGGGAATGTCTTCAGATAAACTCTAGACAGAAGCATTCTCAGAAACTTCTTTGGGATGTTTCAATTGAAGTCACAGTGTTGAACATTCCCTTTCACAGAGCAGGTTTGAAACACTCTTTTTGTAGTGTCTATAAGTGAACATTTGGCGTGCTTTCAGGCGTAACGTGAAAAAGGAAATATCTTCCCATAAAAACCAGACAGAAGCATTCTCAGAAACTTGTTCGTGATGTGTGCCCTCTACTGACAGAGTTGAACCTTTCTTTGCAAAGAGCAGCTTTGAAACACTCTTTTTGTAGAATCTGCAAGAGGATATTTGGATAGCTTGGAGGATTTCGTTGGAAACGGGTATGTCTTCAGATAAACTCTAGACAGAAGCATTCTCAGAAACTTCTTTGGGATGTTGCATTCAAGTCACAGAGTAGAACATTCCCATTCATAGAGCAGATTTGAAACACTCTTTTTGTAGTATCTGGAAGTGGACATTTGGAGCGCTTTCAGGCCTATGTTGAAAAAGGAAATATCTTCCCATAAAAACTAGACGGAAGCATTCTCAGAAACTTATTTGTGATGTGTTTGCTCAACTAACAGGATTGAACCATCGTTTTGAAGGAGCAGTTTTGAAACACTGTTTTCGTGGAATCTGCAAGTGGATATTTGGCTAGCTTTGAGGATTTCGTTGGAAACGGGATTACATATAAAAAGGAGACAGCAGCATTCTCAGAAACTTCTTTGTGATGTTTGCATTCAAGTCACAGAGTTGAACATTCCCTTTCATAGAGCAGGTTTGAAACACTCTTTTTGTAGTATCTGGATGTGGACATTTGGATCGCTTTCAGGCCTATGGTGAAAAAGGAAATATCTTCCCATGAAAACTAGACAGAAGCATTCTCAGAAACTTATTTGTGATGTGTGCCCTCAACTGACAGTGTTGAACCTTTGTTTTGATAGAGCAGTTCTGAAACACACTTTTTGTAAAATCTGCAAGAGGATATTTGGATAGCTTTGAGGATTTCGTTGGAAACGGAAATGTCTTCATGTAAACTCTACACAGAAGCATTCTCAGAAACTGCTTTGGGATGTTTCAATTGAAGTCCCAGTGTTGAACATTCCCATTCATAGAGCAGGTTTGAAACACTCTTTTTGTACTATCTGGAAGTGGACATTTGGAGCGCTTTCAGGTCTACGGTGAAAAAGGAGATATCTTCCAATAAAAACTAGATAGAAGCAATGTCAGAACTTTTTTCATGATGTATCTACTCAGCAAACAGAGTTGAACCTTTCTTTTGAGGGAGCAGTTTTGAAACACTATTTTTGTGGAATATGCAAGTGGGTATTAGGCCAGCTTGGAGGATTTCGTTGGAAACGGGAATACGTATAAAAAGCAGACAGCAGCATTGTCAGAAACTACTTTGTGATGTTTGCATTCAAGTCACAGAATTGAACACTCCCTTTCACAGAGCAGGTTTGAAACACTCTTTTTGTAGTGTCTGTAAGTGAACATTTGGATTGATTTCAGGCCTAAGGTGAAAAAGGAAATATCTTCCCATAAAAACTAGACAGAAGCATTCTCAGAAACTTGTTTGTGATGTGTGCCCTCTACTGACAGAGTTGAACCTTTCTTTGCAAAGAGCAGTTTTGAAACACTCTTTTTGTAGAATCTGCAAGAGGATATTTGGATAGCTTTGAGGATTTCTTTGGAAACGGGAATGTCTTCAGATAAACTCTAGACAGAAGCATTCTCAGAAACTTCTTTGGGATGTTTCAATTGAAGTCACAGTGTTGAACATTCCCTTTCACAGAGCAGGTTTGAAACACTCTTTTTGTAGTGTCTATAAGTGAACATTTGGCGTGCTTTCAGGCCTAACGTGAAAAAGGAAATATCTTCCCATAAAAACTAGACAGAAGCATTGTCAGAAACTTGTTCATGATGTGTGCCCTCTACTGACAGAGTTGAACCTTTCTTTGCAAAGAGCAGCTTTGAAACACTCTTTTTGTAGAATCTGCAAGAGGATATTTGGATAGCTTTTAGGATTTCGTTGGAAACGGGTATGTCTTCAGATAAACTCTAGACAGAAGCATTCTCAGAAACTTCTTTGGGATGTTGCATTCAAGTCACAGAGTAGAACATTCCCATTCATAGAGCAGATTTGAAACACTCTTTTTGTAGTATCTGGAAGTGGACATTTGGAGCGCTTTCAGGCCTATGTTGAAAAAGGAAATATCTTCCCATAAAAACTAGACGGAAGCATTCTCAGAAACTTATTTGTGATGTGTTTGCTCAACTAACAGGATTGAACCATCGTTTTGAAGGAGCAGTTTTGAAACACTGTTTTCGTGGAATCTGCAAGTGGATATTTGGCTAGCTTTGAGGATTTCGTTGGAAACGGGATTACATATAAAAAGGAGACAGCAGCATTCTCAGAAACTTCTTTGTGATGTTTGCATTCAAGTCACAGAGTTGAACATTCCCTTTCATAGAGCAGGTTTGAAACACTCTTTTTGTAGTATCTGGATGTGGACATTTGGATCGCTTTCAGGCCTATGGTGAAAAAGGAAATATCTTCCCATGAAAACTAGACAGAAGCATTCTCAGAAACTTATTTGTGATGTGTGCCCTCAACTGACAGTGTTGAACCTTTGTTTTGATAGAGCAGTTCTGAAACACACTTTTTGTAAAATCTGCAAGAGGATATTTGGATAGCTTTTAGGATTTCGTTGGAAACGGGAATGTCTTCATGTAAACTCTAGACAGAAGCATTCTCAGAAACTGCTTTGGGATGTTTCAATTGAAGTCCCAGTGTTGAACATTCCCATTCATAGAGCAGGTTTGAAACACTCTTTTTGTACTATCTGGAAGTGGACATTTGGAGCGCTTTCAGGTCTACGGTGAAAAAGGAGATATCTTCCAATAAAAACTAGATAGAAGCAATGTCAGAACTTTTTTCATGATGTATCTACTCAGCAAACAGAGTTGAACCTTTCTTTTGAGGGAGCAGTTTTGAAACACTATTTTTGTGGAATATGCAAGTGGGTATTAGGCCAGCTTGGAGGATTTCGTTGGAAACGGGAATACGTATAAAAAGCAGACAGCAGCATTGTCAGAAACTACTTTGTGATGTTTGCATTCAAGTCACAGAATTGAACACTCCCTTTCACAGAGCAGGTTTGAAACACTCTTTTTGTAGTGTCTGTAAGTGAACATTTGGATTGCTTTCAGGCCTAAGGTGAAAAAGGAAATATCTTCCCATAAAAACTAGACAGAAGCATTCTCAGAAACTTGTTTGTGATGTGTGCCCTCTACTGACGGAGTTGAACCTTTCTTTGCAAAGAGCAGTTTTGAAACACTCTTTTTGTAGAATCTGCAAGAGGATATTTGGATAGCTTTGAGGATTTCTTGGGAAACGGGAATGTCTTCAGATAAACTCTAGACAGAAGCATTCTCAGAAACTTCTTTGGGATGTTTCAATTGAAGTCACAGTGTTGAACATTCCCTTTCACAGAGCAGGTTTGAAACACTCTTTTTGTAGTGTCTATAAGTGAACATTTGGCGTGCTTTCAGGCGTAACGTGAAAAAGGAAATGTCTTCCCATAAAAACTAGACAGAAGCATTCTCAGAAACTTGTTCATGATGTGTGCCCTCTACTGACAGAGTTGAACCTTTCTTTGCAAAGAGCAGCTTTGAAACACTCTTTTTGTAGAATCTGCAAGAGGATATTTGGATAGCTTTGAGGATTTCGTTGGAAACGGGTATGTCTTCAGATAAACTCTAGACAGAAGCATTCTCAGAAACTTCTTTGGGATGTTGCATGCAAGTCACAGAGTAGAACATTCCCATTCATAGAGCAGATTTGAAACACTCTTTTTGTAGTATCTGGAAGTGGACATTTGGAGCGCTTTCAGGCCTATGTTGAAAAAGGAAATATCTTCCCATAAAAACTAGACGGAAGCATTCTCAGAAACTTATTTGTGATGTGTTTGCTCAACTAACAGGATTGAACCATCGTTTTGAAGGAGCAGTTTTGAAACACTGTTTTCGTGGAATCTGCAAGTGGATATTTGGCTAGCTTTGAGGATTTCGTTGGAAACGGGATTACATATACAAAGGAGACAGCAGCATTCTCAGAAACTTCTTTGTGATGTCTGCATTCAATTCACAGAGTTGAGCATTCCCTTTCATAGAGCAGGTTGGAAACACTCTTTTTGTAGTATCTGGATGAGGACATTTGGAGCGCTTTCAGGCGTATGGTGAAAAAGGAAATATCTTCCCGTAAAAACTAGACAGAAGCATTCTCAGAAGTTTATTTGTGATGTGTGCCCTCAACTAACAGAGTTGAACCTTTCTTTTGATAGAGCAGTTTTGAAACACTCTTTTTGTAAAATCTGCAAGAGGATATTTGGATAGCTTTGAGGATTTCGTTGCAAACGGGAATGGCTTCATATAAACTCTAGACAGAAGCATTCTCAGAAACTTCGTTGGGATGTTTCGATTGAAGTCCCAGTGTTGAACATTCCCTTTTATAGAGCAGGTTGGAAACACTCTTTCTGCATTCCCTGGAAGTGGACATTTGGAGCGCTTTCAGGACGACGGTGAAAATGGAAATATCTTCCAAGAAAATCTAGATAGAAGCAACGTCAGAAACTTTTCTGTGATGGATCTACTCAGCTAACAGAGTTGAACCTTTCTTTTGAGAGAGCAGTTTTGCAACACTCTTTTTGTGGAATATGCAAGTGGATATTAGGGCAGCTTTGAGGATTTCGTTGGAAACGGGAATACATGTAAAAAGCAGACAGCAGCATTCTCAGAAACTTGTTTGTGATGTTTGCATTGAAGTCACAGAGTTGAACATTCCCTTTGAGAGAGCAGGTTTGAAACACGCCTTTTGTCATATCTGGAAGTGTCCATTCGGAGCGCATTCAGGCTTGTGTTGAAAAAGGAAATATCCTCCCATAAAAACTAGACAGAAGCATTCTCAGAAACTTATCTGTGATGTATGTACTCAACTAACAGAACTAAACCATCGTTTTGAAGGAGCAGTTTTGAAACACTCTTTTTGCGGAATCTGCAAGTGGATATTTGGCTAGCTGGGAGGATTTCGTTGGAAACGGGATTACATACAAAAAGCAGACAGCAGCATTCTCAGAAACTTCTTTGTGATGTTTGCATTCAAGTCACAGAGTTGAACATTCCCTTTCATAGAGCAGGTTTGAAACACTCTTTTTGTAGTATCTGGATGTGGACATTTGGATCGCTTTCAGGCCTATGGTGAAAAAGGAAATATCTTCCCATGAAAACTAGACAGAAGCATTCTCAGAAACTTATTTGTGATGTGTGCCCTCAACTGACAGTGCTGAACCTTTGTTTTGATAGAGCAGTTCTGAAACACACTTTTTGTAAAATCTGCAAGAGGATATTTGGATAGCTTTGAGGATTTCGTTGGAAACGGGAATGTCTTCATGTAAACTCTACACAGAAGCATTCTCAGAAACTGCTTTGGGATGTTTCAATTGAAGTCCCAGTGTTGAACATTCCCATTCATAGAGCAGGTTTGAAACACTCTTTTTGTACTATCTGGAAGTGGACATTTGGAGCGCTTTCAGGTCTACGGTGAAAAAGGAGATATCTTCCAATAAAAACTAGATAGAAGCAATGTCAGAACTTTTTTCATGATGTATCTACTCAGCAAACAGAGTTGAACCTTTCTTTTGAGAGAGCAGTTTTGAAACACTCCTTTTGTGGAATATGCAAGTGGGTATTAGGCCAGCTTGGAGGATTTCGTTGGAAACGGGAATACGTATAAAAAGCAGACAGCAGCATTGTCAGAAACTACTTTGTGATGTTTGCATTCAAGTCACAGAATTGAACACTCCCTTTCACAGAGCAGGTTTGAAACTCTCTTTTTGTAGTGTCTGTAAGTGAACATTTGGATTGCTTTCAGGCCTAAGGTGAAAAAGGAAATATCTTCCCATATAAACTAGACAGAAGCATTCTCAGAAACTTGTTTGTGATGTGTGCCCTCTACTGACAGAGTTGAACCTTTCTTTTCAAAGAGCAGTTTTGAAACACTCTTTTTGTAGAATCTGCAAGAGGATATTTGGATAGCTTTGAGGATTTCTTGGGAAACGGGAATGTCTTCAGATAAACTCTAGACAGAAGCATTCTCAGAAACTTCTTTGGGATGTTTCAATTGAAGTCACAGTGTTGAACATTCCCTTTCACAGAGCAGGTTTGAAACACTCTTTTTGTAGTGTCTATAAGTGAACATTTGGCGTGCTTTCAGGCGTAACGTGAAAAAGGAAATATCTTCCCATAAAAACTAGACAGAAGCATTCTCAGAAACTTGTTAGTGATGTGTGCCCTCTACTGACAGAGTTGAACCTTTCTTTGCAAAGAGCAGCTTTGAAACACACTTTTTGTAGAATCTGCAAGAGGATATTTGGATAGCTTTGAGGATTTCGTTGGAAACGGGTATGTCTTCAGATAAACTCTAGACAGAAGCATTCTCAGAAACTTCTTTGGGATGTTGCATGCAAGTCACAGAGTAGAACATTCCCATTCATAGAGCAGATTTGAAACACTCTTTTTGTAGTATCTGGAAGTGGACATTTGGAGCGCTTTCAGGCCTATGTTGAAAAAGGAAATATCTTCCCATAAAAACTAGACGGAAGCATTCTCAGAAACTTATTTCTGATGTGTTTGCTCAACTAACAGAATTGAACCATCGTTTTGAAGGAGCAGTTTTGAAACCCTGTTTTCGTGGAATCTGCAAGTGGATATTTGGCTAGCTTTGAGGATTTCGTTGGAAACGGGATTACCTATAAAAAGGAGACAGCAGCATTCTCAGAAACTTCTTTGTGATGTTTGCATTCAAGTCACAGAGTTGAACATTCCCTTTCATAGAGCAGGTTTGAAACACTCTTTTTGTAGTATCTGGATGTGGACATTTGGATCGCTTTCAGGCCTATGGTGAAAAAGGAAATATCTTCCCATGAAAACTAGACAGAAGCATTCTCAGAAACTTATTTGTGATGTGTGCCCTCAACTGACAGTGTTGAACCTTTGTTTTGATAGAGCAGTTCTGAAACACACTTTTTGTAAAATCTGCAAGAGGATATTTGGATAGCTTTGAGGATTTCGTTGGAAACGGGAATGTCTTCATGTAAACTTCTAGACAGAAGCATTCTCAGAAACTGCTTTGGGATGTTTCAATTGAAGTCCCAGTGTTGAACATTCCCTTTCATAGAGCAGGTTTGAAACACTCTTTTTGTACTATCTGGAAGTGGACATTTGGAGCGCTTTCAGGTCTACGGTGAAAAAGGAGATATCTTCCAATAAAAACTAGATAGAAGCAATGTCAGAACTTTTTTCATGATGTATCTACTCAGCAAACAGAGTTGAACCTTTCTTTTGAGAGAGCAGTTTTGAAACACTCTTTTTGTGGAATATGCAAGTGGGTATTAGGCCAGCTTGGAGGATTTCGTTGGAAACGGGAATACGTATAAAAAGCAGACAGCAGCATTGTCAGAAACTACTTTGTGATGTTTGCATGCAAGTCACAGAATGGAACACTGCCTTTCACAGAGCAGGTTTGAAACACTCTTTTTGTAGTGTCTGTAAGTGAACATTTGGATTGCTTTCAGGCCTAAGGTGAAAAAGGAAATATCTTCCCATAAAAACTAGACAGAAGCATTCTCAGAAACTTGTTTGTGATGTGTGCCCTCTACTGACAGAGTTGAACCTTTCTTTGCAAAGAGCAGTTTTGAAACACTCTTTTTGTAGAATCTGCAAGAGGATATTTGGATAGCTTTGAAGATTTCTTGGGAAACGGGAATGTCTTCAGATAAACTCTAGACAGAAGCATTCTCAGAAACTTCTTTGGGATGTTTCAATTGAAGTCACAGTGTTGAACATTCCCTTTCACAGAGCAGGTTTGAAACACTCTTTTTGTAGTGTCTATAAGTGAACATTTGGCGTGCTTTCAGGCCTAACGTGAAAAAGGAAATATCTTCCCATAAAAACTAGACAGAAGCATTCTCAGAAACTTGTTCGTGATGTGTGCCCTCTACTGACAGAGTTGAACCTTTCTTTGCAAAGAGCAGCTTTGAAACACTCTTTTTGTAGAATCTGCAAGAGGGTATTTGGATAGCTTGGAGGATTTCGTTGGAAACGGGTATGTCTTCAGATAAACTCTAGACAGAAGCATTCTCAGAAACTTCTTTGGGATGTTGCATTCAAGTCACAGAGTAGAACATTCCCATTCATAGAGCAGATTTGAAACACTCTTTTTGTAGTTTCTGGAAGTGGACATTTGGAGCGCTTTCAGGCCTATGTTGAAAAAGGAAATATCTTCCCATAAAAACTAGACGGAAGCATTCTCAGAAACTTACTTGTGATGTGTTTGCTCAACTAACAGAATTGAACCATCGTTTTGAAGGAGCAGTTTTGAAACACTGTTTTCGTGGAATCTGCAAGTGGATATTTGGCTAGCTTTGAGGATTTCGTTGGAAACGGGATTACATATAAAAAGGAGACAGCAGCATTCTCAGAAACTTCTTTGTGATGTCTGCATTCAATTCACAGAGTTGAGCATTCCCTTTCATAGAGCAGGTTGGAAACACTCTTTTTGTAGTATCTGGATGAGGACATTTGGAGCGCTTTCAGGCGTATGGTGAAAAAGGAAATATCTTCCCGTAAAAACTAGACAGAAGCATTCTCAGAAGTTTATTTCTGATGTGTGCCCTCAACTAACAGAGTTGAACCTTTCTTTTGATAGAGCAGTTTTGAAACACTCTTTTTGTAAAATCTGCAAGAGGATATTTGGATAGCTTTGAGGATTTCGTTGCAAACGGGAATGGCTTCATATAAACTCTAGACAGAAGCATTCTCAGAAACTTCGTTGGGATGTTTCGATTGAAGTCCCAGTGTTGAACATTCCCTTTTATAGAGCAGGTTGGAAACACTCTTTTTGCATTCCCTGGAAGTGGACATTTGGAGCGCTTTCAGGACGACGGTGAAAATGGAAATATCTTCCAAGAAAATCTAGATAGAAGCAATGTCAGAAACTTTTCTGTGATGGATCTACTCAGCTAACAGAGTTGAACCTTTCTTTTGAGAGAGCAGTTTTGCAACACTCTTTTTGTGGAATATGCAAGTGGATATTAGGGCAGCTTTGAGGATTTCGTTGGAAACGGGAATACATGTAAAAAGCAGACAGCAGCATTCTCAGAAACTTCTTTGTGATGTTTGCATTCAAGTCACAGAGTTGAACATTCCCTTTGAGAGAGCAGGTTTGAAACACGCCTTTTGTCATATCTGGAAGTGTCCATTCGGAGCGCATTCAGGCTTGTGTTGAAAAAGGAAATATCCTCCCAGAAAAACTAGACAGAAGCATTCTCAGAAACTTATCTGTGATGTATGTACTCAACTAACAGAACTAAACCATCGTTTTGAAGGAGCAGTTTTGAAACACTCTTTTTGCGGAATCTGCAAGTGGATATTTGGCTAGCTGGGAGGATTTCGTTGGAAACGGGATTACATACAAAAAGCAGACAGCAGCATTCTCAGAAACTTATTTGTGATGTGTGCCCTCAACTGACAGTGTTGAACCTTTGTTTTGATAGAGCAGTTCTGAAACACACTTTTTGTAAAATCTGCAAGAGGATATTTGGATAGCTTTGAGGATTTCGTTGGAAACGGGAATGTCTTCATGTAAACTCTAGACAGAAGCATTCTCAGAAACTGCTTTGGGATGTTTCAATTGAAGTCCCAGTGTTGAACATTCCCTTTCATAGAGCAGGTTTGAAACACTCTTTTTGTACTATCTGGAAGTGGACATTTGGAGCGCTTTCAGGTCTACGGTGAAAAAGGAGATATCTTCCAATAAAAACTAGATAGAAGCAATGTCAGAACTTTTTTCATGATGTATCTACTCAGCAAACAGAGTTGAACCTTTCTTTTGAGAGAGCAGTTTTGAAACACTCTTTTTGTGGAATATGCAAGTGGGTATTAGGCCAGCTTGGAGGATTTCGTTGGAAACGGGAATACGTATAAAAAGCAGACAGCAGCATTGTCAGAAACTACTTTGTGATGTTTGCATTCAAGTCACAGAACTGAACACTCCCTTTCACAGAGCAGGTTTGAAACACTCTTTTTGTAGTGTCTGTAAGTGAACATTTGGATTGCTTTCAGGCCTAAGGTGAAAAAGGAAATATCTTCCCATAAAAACTAGACAGAAGCATTCTCAGAAACTTGTTTGTGATGTGTGCCCTCTACTGACAGAGTTGAACCTTTCTTTGCAAAGAGCAGTTTTGAAACACTCTTTTTGTAGAATCTGCAAGAGGATATTTGGATAGCTTTGAGGATTTCTTGGGAAACGGGAATGTCTTCAGATAAAGTCTAGACAGAAGCATTCTCAGAAACTTCTTTGGGATGTTTCAATTGAAGTCACAGTGTTGAACATTCCCTTTCACAGAGCAGGTTTGAAACACTCTTTTTGTAGTGTCTATAAGTGAACATTTGGCGTGCTTTCAGGCCTAACGTGGAAAAGGAAATATCTTCCCATAAAAACTAGACAGAAGCATTCTCAGAAACTTGTTCGTGATGTGTGCCCTCTACTGACAGAGTTGAACCTTTCTTTGCAAAGAGCAGCTTTGAAACACTCTTTTTGTAGAATCTGCAAGAGGATATTTGGATAGCTTTGAGGATTTCGTTGGAAACGGGTATGTCTTCAGATAAACTCTAGACAGAAACATTCTCAGAAACTTCTTTGGGATGTTGCATTCAAGTCACAGAGTAGAACATTCCCATGCATAGAGCAGATTTGAAACACTCTTTTTGTAGTATCTGGAAGTGGACATTTGGAGCGCTTTCAGGCCTATGTTGAAAAAGGAAATATCTTCCCATAAAAACTAGACGGGAAGCATTCTCAGAAACTTATTTGTGATGTGTTTGCTCAACTAACAGGATTGAACCATCGTTTTGAAGGAGCAGTTTTGAAACACTGTTTTCGTGGAATCTGCAAGTGGATATTTGGCTAGCTTTGAGGATTTCGTTGGAAACGGGATTACATATAAAAAGGAGACAGCAGCATTCTCAGAAACTTCTTTGTGATGTTTGCATTCAAGTCACAGAGTTGAACATTCCCTTTCATAGAGCAGGTTTGAAACACTCTTTTTGTAGTATCTGGATGTGGACATTTGGATCGCTTTCAGGCCTATGGTGAAAAAGGAAATATCTTCCCATGAAAACTAGACAGAAGCATTCTCAGAAACTTATTTGTGATGTGTGCCCTCAACTGACAGTGTTGAACCTTTGTTTTGATAGAGCAGTTCTGAAACACACTTTTTGTAAAATCTGCAAGAGGATATTTGGATAGCTTTGAGGATTTCGTTGGAAACGGGAATGTCTTCATGTAAACTTCTAGACAGAAGCATTCTCAGAAACTGCTTTGGGATGTTTCAATTGAAGTCCCAGTGTTGAACATTCCCTTTCATAGAGCAGGTTTGAAACACTCTTTTTGTACTATCTGGAAGTGGACATTTGGAGCGCTTTCAGGTCTACGGTGAAAAAGGAGATATCTTCCAATAAAAACTAGATAGAAGCAATGTCAGAACTTTTTTCATGATGTATCTACTCAGCAAACAGAGTTGAACCTTTCTTTTGAGAGAGCAGTTTTGAAACACTCTTTTTGTGGAATATGAAAGTGGGTATTAGGCCAGCTTGGAGGATTTCGTTGGAAACGGGAATACGTATAAAAAGCAGACAGCAGCATTGTCAGAAACTACTTTGTGATGTTTGCATTCAAGTCACAGAATTGAACACTCCCTTTCACAGAGCAGGTTTGAAACACTCTTTTTGTAGTGTCTGTAAGTGAACATATGGATTGCTTTCAGGCCTAAGGTGAAAAAGGAAATATCTTCCCATAAAAACTAGACAGAAGCATTCTCAGAAACTTGTTTGTGATGTGTGCCCTCTACTGACAGAGTTGAACCTTTCTTTGCAAAGAGCAGTTTTGAAACACTCTTTTTGTAGAATCTGCAAGAGGATATTTGGATAGCTTTGAGGATTTCTTGGGAAACGGGAATGTCTTCAGATAAACTCTAGACAGAAGCATTCTCAGAAACTTCTTTGGGATGTTTCAATTGAAGTCACAGTGTTGAACATTCCCTTTCACAGAGCAGGTTTGAAACACTCTTTTTGTAGTGTCTATAAGTGAACATTTGGCGTGCTTTCAGGCGTAACGTGAAAAAGGAAATATCTTCCCATAAAAACTAGACAGAAGCATTCTCAGAAACTTGTTCGTGATGTGTGCCCTCTACTGACAGAGTTGAACCTTTCTTTGCAAAGAGCAGCTTTGAAACACACTTTTTGTAGAATCTGCAAGAGGATATTTGGATAGCTTTGAGGATTTCGTTGGAAACGGGTATGTCTTCAGATATACTCTAGACAGAAGCATTCTCAGAAACTTCTTTGGGATGTTGCATTCAAGTCACAGAGTAGAACATTCCCATTCATAGAGCAGATTTGAAACACTCTTTTTGTAGTATCTGGAAGTGGACATTTGGAGCGCTTTCAGGCCTATGTTGAAAAAGGAAATATCTTCCCATAAAAACTAGACGGAAGCATTCTCAGAAACTTATTTGTGATGTGTTTGCTCAACTAACAGGATTGAACCATCGTTTTGAAGGAGCAGTTTTGAAACACTGTTTTCGTGGAATCTGCAAGTGGATATTTGGCTAGCTTTGAGGATTTCGTTGGAAACGGGATTACATATAAAAAGGAGACAGCAGCATTCTCAGAAACTTCTTTGTGATGTTTGCATTCAAGTCACAGAGTTGAACATTCCCTTTCATAGAGCAGGTTTGAAACACTCTTTTTGTAGTATCTGGATGTGGACATTTGGATCGCTTTCAGGCCTATGGTGAAAAAGGAAATATCTTCCCATGAAAACTAGACAGAAGCATTCTCAGAAACTTATTTGTGATGTGTGCCCTCAACTGACAGTGTTGAACCTTTGTTTTGATAGAGCAGTTCTGAAACACACTTTTTGTAAAATCTGCAAGAGGATATTTGGATAGCTTTGAGGATTTCGTTGGAAAAGGGAATGTCTTCATGTAAACTCTAGACAGAAGCATTCTCAGAAACTGCTTTGGGATGTTTCAATTGAAGTCCCAGTGTTGAACATTCCCTTTCATAGAGCAGGTTTGAAACACTCTTTTTGTAGTATCTGGATGAGGACATTTGGAGCGCTTTCAGGCGTTTGGTGAAAAAGGAAATATCTTCCCGTAAAAACTAGACAGAAGCAATGTCAGAACTTTTTTCATGATGTATCTACTCAGCAAACAGAGTTGAACCTTTCTTTTGAGAGAGCAGTTTTGAAACACTCCTTTTGTGGAATATGCAAGTGGGTATTAGGCCAGCTTGGAGGATTTCGTTGGAAACGGGAATACGTATAAAAAGCAGACAGCAGCATTGTCAGAAACTACTTTGTGATGTTTGCATGCAAGTCACAGAATGGAACACTGCCTTTCACAGAGCAGGTTTGAAACACTCTTTTTGTAGTGTCTGTAAGTGAACATTTGGATTGCTTTCAGGCCTAAGGTGAAAAAGGAAATATCTTCCCATAAAAACTAGACAGAAGCATTCTCAGAAACTTGTTTGTGATGTGTGCCCTCTACTGACAGAGTTGAACCT
The DNA here is from genome assembly GCF_000001405.40 of Homo sapiens. NCBI lineage: Eukaryota > Metazoa > Chordata > Mammalia > Primates > Hominidae > Homo > Homo sapiens. Next base: position 28,280,723 of record NC_000020.11, read on the forward strand.
TTCTTTGCAAAGAGCAGTTTTGAAACACTCTTTTTGTAGAATCTGCAAGAGGATATTTGGATAGCTTTGAGGATTTCTTGGGAAACGGGAATGTCTTCAGATAAACTCTAGACAGAAGCATTCTCAGAAACTTCTTTGGGATGTTTCAATTGAAGTCACAGTGTTGAACATTCCCTTTCACAGAGCAGGTTTGAAACACTCTTTTTGTAGTGTCTATAAGTGAACATTTGGCGTGCTTTCAGGCCTAACGTGAAAAAGGAAATATCTTCCCATAAAAACTAGACAGAAGCATTCTCAGAAACTTGTTCGTGATGTGTGCCCTCTACTGATAGAGTTGAACCTTTCTTTGCAAAGAGCAGCTTTGAAACACACTTTTTGTAGAATCTGCAAGAGGATATTTGGATAGCTTTGAGGATTTCGTTGGAAACGGGTATGTCTTCAGATAAACTCTAGACAGAAGCATTCTCAGAAACTTCTTTGGGATGTTGCATTCAAGTCACAGAGTAGAACATTCCCATTCATAGAGCAGATTTGAAACACTCTTTTTGTAGTATCTGGAAGTGGACATTTGGAGCGCTTTCAGGCCTATGTTGAAAAAGGAAATATCTTCCCATAAAAACTAGACGGAAGCATTCTCAGAAACTTATTTGTGATGTGTTTGCTCAACTAACAGGATTGAACCATCGTTTTGAAGGAGCAGTTTTGAAACACTGTTTTCATGGAATCTGCAAGTGGATATTTGGCTAGCTTTGAGGATTTCGTTGGAAACGGGATTACATATACAAAGGAGACAGCAGCATTCTCAGAAACTTCTTTGTGATGTCTGCATTCAAGTCACAGAGTTGAGCATTCCCTTTCATAGAGCAGGTTGGAAACACTCTTTTTGTAGTATCTGGATGAGGACATTTGGAGCGCTTTCAGGCGTATGGTGAAAAAGGAAATATCTTCCCGTAAAAACTAGACAGAAGCATTCTCAGAAATTTATTTGTGATGTGTGCCCTCAACTAACAGAGTTGAACCTTTCTTTTGATAGAGCAGTTTTGAAACACTCTTTTTGTAAAATCTGCAAGAGGATATTTGGATAGCTTTGAGGATTTCGTTGCAAACGGGAATGGCTTCATATAAAATCTAGACAGAAGCATTCTCAGAAACTTCGTTGGGATGTTTCGATTGAAGTCCCAGTGTTGAACATTCCCTTTTATAGAGCAGGTTGGAAACACTCTTTCTGCATTCCCTGGAAGTGGACATTTGGAGCGCTTTCAGGACGACGGTGAAAATGGAAATATCTTCCAAGAAAATCTAGATAGAAGCAACGTCAGAAACTTTTCTGTGATGGATCTACTCAGCTAACAGAGTTGAACCTTTCTTTTGAGAGAGCAGTTTTGCAACACTCTTTTTGTGGAATATGCAAGTGGATATTAGGGCAGCTTTGAGGATTTCGTTGGAAACGGGAATACATGTAAAAAGCAGACAGCAGCATTCTCAGAAACTTCTTTGTGATGTTTGCATTGAAGTCACAGAGTTGAACATTCCCTTTGAGAGAGCAGGTTTGAAACACGCCTTTTGTCATATCTGGAAGTGTCCATTCGGAGCGCATTCAGGCTTGTGTTGAAAAAGGAAATATCCTCCCATAAAAACTAGACAGAAGCATTCTCAGAAACTTATCTGTGATGTATGTACTCAACTAACAGAACTAAACCATCGTTTTGAAGGAGCAGTTTTGAAACACTCTTTTTGCGGAATCTGCAAGTGGATATTTGGCTAGCTGGGAGGATTTCGTTGGAAACGGGATTACATACAAAAAGCAGACAGCAGCATTCTCAGAAACTTATTTGTGATGTGTGCCCTCAACTGACAGTGTTGAACCTTTGTTTTGATAGAGCAGTTCTGAAACACACTTTTTGTAAAATCTGCAAGAGGATATTTGGATAGCTTTGAGGATTTCGTTGGAAACGGGAATGTCTTCATGTAAACTCTAGACAGAAGCATTCTCAGAAACTGCTTTGGGATGTTTCAATTGAAGTCCCAGTGTTGAACATTCCCATTCATAGAGCAGGTTTGAAACACTCTTTTTGTACTATCTGGAAGTGGACATTTGGAGCGCTTTCAGGTCTACGGTGAAAAAGGAGATATCTTCCAATAAAAACTAGATAGAAGCAATGTCAGAACTTTTTTCATGATGTATCTACTCAGCTAACAGAGTTGAACCTTTCTTTTGAGAGAGCAGTTTTGAAACACTCTTTTTGTGGAATATGCAAGTGGGTATTAGGCCAGCTTGGAGGATTTCGTTGGAAACGGGAATACGTATAAAAAGCAGACAGCAGCATTGTCAGAAACTACTTTGTGATGTTTGCATTCAAGTCACAGAATTGAACACTCCCTTTCACAGAGCAGGTTTGAAACACTCTTTTTGTAGTGTCTGTAAGTGAACATTTGGATTGCCTTCAGGCCTAAGGTGAAAAAGGAAATATCTTCCCATAAAAACTAGACAGAAGCATTCTCAGAAACTTGTTTGTGATGTGTGCCCTCTACTGACAGAGTTGAACCTTTCTTTGCAAAGAGCAGTTTTGAAACACTCTTTTTGTAGAATCTGCAAGAGGATATTTGGATAGCTTTGAGGATTTCTTGGGAAACGGGAATGTCTTCAGATAAACTCTAGACAGAAGCATTCTCAGAAACTTCTTTGGGATGTTTCAATTGAAGTCACAGTGTTGAACATTCCCTTTCACAGAGCAGGTTTGAAACACTCTTTTTGTAGTGTCTATAATTGAACATTTGGCGTGCTTTCAGGCCTAACGTGAAAAAGGAAATATCTTCCCATAAAAACTAGACAGAAGCATTCTCAGAAACTTGTTCGTGATGTGTGCCCTCTACTGACAGAGTTGAACCTTTCTTTGCAAAGAGCAGCTTTGAAACACTCTTTTTGTAGAATCTGCAAGAGGATATGTGGATAGCTTTGAGGATTTCGTTGGAAACGGGTATGTCTTCAGATAAACTCTAGACAGAAGCATTCTCAGAAACTTCTTTGGGATGTTTCAATTGAAGTCACAGTGTTGAACATTCCTTTTCACAGAGCAGGTTTGAAACACTCTTTTTGTAGTGTCTATAAGTGAACATTTGGCGTGCTTTCAGGCCTAACGTGAAAAAGGAAATATCTTCCCATAAAAACTAGACAGAAGCATTCTCAGAAACTTGTTCGTGATGTGTGCCCTCTACTGACAGAGTTGAACCTTTCTTTGCAAAGAGCAGCTTTGAAACACTCTTTTTGTAGAATCTGCAAGAGGATATTTGGATAGCTTTGAGGATTTCGTTGGAAACGGGTATGTCTTCAGATAAACTCTAGACAGAAGCATTCTCAGAAACTTCTTTGGGATGTTGCATTCAAGTCACAGAGTAGAACATTCCCATTCATAGAGCAGATTTGAAACACTCTTTTTGTAGTATCTGGAAGTGGACATTTGGAGCGCTTTCAGGCCTATGTTGAAAAAGGAAATATCTTCCCATAAAAACTAGACGGAAGCATTCTCAGAAACTTATTTGTGATGTGTTTGCTCAACTAACAGGATTGAACCATCGTTTTGAAGGAGCAGTTTTGAAACACTGTTTTCGTGGAATCTGCAAGTGGATATTTGGCTAGCTTTGAGGATTTCGTTGGAAACGGGATTACATATAAAAAGGAGACAGCAGCATTCTCAGAAACTTCTTTGTGATGTTTGCATTCAAGTCACAGAGTTGAACATTCCCTTTCATAGAGCAGGTTTGAAACACTCTTTTTGTAGTATCTGGATGTGGACATTTGGATCGCTTTCAGGCCTATGGTGAAAAAGGAAATATCTTCCCATGAAAACTAGACAGAAGCATTCTCAGAAACTTATTTGTGATGTGTGCCCTCAACTGACAGTGTTGAACCTTTGTTTTGATAGAGCAGTTCTGAAACACACTTTTTGTAAAATCTGCAAGAGGATATTTGGATAGCTTTGAGGATTTCGTTGGAAACGGGAATGTCTTCATGTAAACTCTAGACAGAAGCATTCTCAGAAACTGCTTTGGGATGTTTCAATTGAAGTCCCAGTGTTGAACATTCCCATTCATAGAGCAGGTTTGAAACACTCTTTTTGTACTATCTGGAAGTGGACATTTGGAGCGCTTTCAGGTCTACGGTGAAAAAGGAGATATCTTCCAATAAAAACTAGATAGAAGCAATGTCAGAACTTTTTTCATGATGTATCTACTCAGCAAACAGAGTTGAACCTTTCTTTTGAGAGAGCAGTTTTGAAACACTCTTTTTGTGGAATATGCAAGTGGGTATTAGGCCAGCTTGGAGGATTTCGTTGGAAACGGGAATACGTATAAAAAGCAGACAGCAGCATTGTCAGAAACTACTTTGAGATGTTTGCATTCAAGTCACAGAATTGAACACTCCCTTTCACAAAGCAGGTTTGAAACACTCTTTTTGTAGTGTCTGTAAGTGAACATTTGGATTGCTTTCAGGCCTAAGGTGAAAAAGGAAATATCTTCCCATAAAAACTAGACAGAAGCATTCTCAGAAACTTGTTTGTGATGTGTGCCCTCTACTGACAGAGTTGAACCTTTCTTTGCAAAGAGCAGTTTTGAAACACTCTTTTTGTAGAATCTGCAAGAGGATATTTGGATAGCTTTGAGGATTTCTTGGGAAACGGGAATGTCTTCAGATAAACTCTAGACAGAAGCATTCTCAGAAACTTCTTTGGGATGTTTCAATTGAAGTCACAGTGTTGAACATTCCCTTTCACAGAGCAGGTTTGAAACACTCTTTTTGTAGTGTCTATAAGTGAACATTTGGCGTGCTTTCAGGCCTAACGTGAAAAAGGAAATATCTTCCCATAAAAACTAGACAGAAGCATTCTCAGAAACTTGTTCTTGATGTGTCCCCTCTACTGACAGAGTTGAACCTTTCTTTGCAAAGAGCAGCTTTGAAACACTCTTTTTGTAGAATCTGCAAGAGGATATTTGGATAGCTTGGAGGATTTCGTTGGAAACGGGTATGTCTTCAGATAAACTCCAGACAGAAGCATTCTCAGAAACTTCTTTGGGATGTTGCATTCAAGTCACAGAGTAGAACATTCCCATTCATAGAGCAGATTTGAAACACTCTTTTTGTAGTATCTGGAAGTGGACATTTGGAGCGCTTTCAGGCCTATGTTGAAAAAGGAAATATCTTCCCATAAAAACTAGACGGAAGCATTCTCAGAAACTTATTTGTGATGTGTTTGCTCAACTAACAGGATTGAACCATCGTTTTGAAAGGAGCAGTTTTGAAACACTGTTTTCGTGGAATCTGCAAGTGGATATTTGGCTAGCTTTGAGGATTTCGTTGGAAACGGGATTACATATAAAAAGGAGACAGCAGCATTCTCAGAAACTTCTTTGTGATGTCTGCATTCAATTCACAGAGTTGAGCATTCCCTTTCATAGAGCAGGTTGGAAACACTCTTTTTGTAGTATCTGGATGAGGACATTTGGAGCGCTTTCAGGCGTATGGTGAAAAAGGAAATATCTTCCCGTAAAAACTAGACAGAAGCATTCTCAGAAGTTTATTTGTGATGTGTGCCCTCAACTAACAGACTTGAACCTTTCTTTTGATAGAGCAGTTTTGAAACACTCATTTTGTAAAATCTGCAAGAGGATATTTGGATAGCTTTGAGGATTTCGTTGCAAACGGGAATGGCTTCATATAAACTCTAGACAGAAGCATTCTCAGAAACTTCGTCGGGATGTTTCGATTGAAGTCCCAGTGTTGAACATTCCCTTTTATAGAGCAGGTTGGAAACACTCTTTCTGCATTCCCTGGAAGTGGACATTTGGAGCGCTTTCAGGACGACGGTGAAAATGGAAATATCTTCCAATAAAATCTGGATAGAAGCAATGTCAGAAACTTTTATGTGATGGATCTACTCAGCTAACAGTAGTTGAACCTTTCTTTTGAGAGAGCAGTTTTGCAACACTCTTTTTGTGGAATATGCAAGTGGATATTAGGGCAGCTTTGAGGATTTCGTTGGAAACGGGAATACATGTAAAAAGCAGACAGCAGCATTCTCAGAAACTTCTTTGTGATGTTTGCATTGAAGTCACAGAGTTGAACATTCCCTTTGAGAGAGCAGGTTTGAAACACGCCTTTTGTCATATCTGGAAGTGTCCATTCGGAGCGCATTCAGGCTTGTGTTGAAAAAGGAAATATCCTCCCATAAAAACTAGACAGAAGCATTCTCAGAAACTTATCTGTGATGTATGTACTCAACTAACAGAACTAAACCATCGTTTTGAAGGAGCAGTTTTGAAACACTCTTTTTGCGGAATCTGCAAGTGGATATTTGGCTAGCTGGGAGGATTTCGTTGGAAACGGGATTACATACAAAAAGCAGACAGCAGCATTCTCAGAAACTTATTTGTGATGTGTGCCCTCAACTGACAGTGTTGAACCTTTGTTTTGATAGAGCAGTTCTGAAACACACTTTTTGTAAAATCTGCAAGAGGATATTTGGATAGCTTTGAGGATTTCGTTGGAAACGGGAATGTCTTCATGTAAACTCTACACAGAAGCATTCTCAGAAACTGCTTTGGGATGTTTCAATTGAAGTCCCAGTGTTGAACATTCCCATTCATAGAGCAGGTTTGAAACACTCTTTTTGTACTATCTGGAAGTGGACATTTGGAGCGCTTTCAGGTCTACGGTGAAAAAGGAGATATCTTCCAATAAAAACTAGATAGAAGCAATGTCAGAACTTTTTTCATGATGTATCTACTCAGCAAACAGAGTTGAACCTTTCTTTTGAGAGAGCAGTTTTGAAACACTCTTTTTGTGGAATATGCAAGTGGGTATTAGGCCAGCTTGGAGGATTTCGTTGGAAACGGGAATACGTATAAAAAGCAGACAGCAGCATTGTCAGAAACTACTTTGTGATGTTTGCATTCAAGTCACAGAATTGAACACTCCCTTTCACAGAGCAGGTTTGAAACACTCTTTTTGTAGTGTCTGTAAGTGAACATTTGGATTGCTTTCAGGCCTAAGGTGAAAAAGGAAATATCTTCCCATAAAAACTAGACAGAAGCATTCTCAGAAACTTGTTTGTGATGTGTGCCCTCTACTGACAGAGTTGAACCTTTCTTTGCAAAGAGCAGTTTTGAAACACTCTTTTTGTAGAATCTGCAAGAGGATATTTGGATAGCTTTGAGGATTTCTTGGGAAACGGGAATGTCTTCAGATAAACTCTAGACAGAAGCATTCTCAGAAACTTCTTTGGGATGTTTCAATTGAAGTCACAGTGTTGAACATTCCCTTTCACAGAGCAGGTTTGAAACACTCTTTTTGTAGTGTCTATAAGTGAACATTTGGCGTGCTTTCAGGCCTAACGTGAAAAAGGAAATATCTTCCCATAAAAACTAGACAGAAGCATTCTCAGAAACTTGTTCGTGATGTGTGCCCTCTACTGACAGAGTTGAACCTTTCTTTGCAAAGAGCAGCTTTGAAACACTCTTTTTGTAGAATCTGCAAGAGGATATTTGGATAGCTTTGAGGATTTCGTTGGAAACGGGGATGTCTTCAGATAAACTCTAGACAGAAGCATTCTCAGAAACTTCTTTGGGATGTTGCATTCAAGTCACAGAGTAGAACATTCCCATTCATAGAGCAGATTTGAAACACTCTTTTTGTAGTATCTGGAAGTGGACATTTGGAGCGCTTTCAAGCCTATGTTGAAAAAGGATATATCTTCCCATAAAAACTAGACGGAAGCATTCTCAGAAACTTACTTGTGATGTGTTTGCTCAACTAACAGAATTGAACCATCGTTTTAAAGGAGCAGTTTTGAAACACTGTTTTCGTGGAATCTGCAAGTGGATATTTGGCTAGCTTTGAGGATTTCGTTGGAAACGGGATTACATATAAAAAGGAGACAGCAGCATTCTCAGAAACTTCTTTGTGATGTCTGCATTCAAGTCACAGAGTTGAGCATTCCCTTTCATAGAGCAGGTTTGAAACACTCTTTTTGTAGTATCTGGATGAGGACATTTGGAGCGCTTTCAGGCGTATGGTGAAAAAGGAAATATCTTCCCGTAAAAACTAGACAGAAGCATTCTCAGAAATTTATTTGTGATGTGTGCCCTCAACTAACAGAGTTGAACCTTTCTTTTGATAGAGCAGTTTTGAAACACTCTTTTTGTAAAATCTGCAAGAGGATATTTGGATAGCTTTGAGGATTTCGTTGCAAACGGGAATGGCTTCATATAAACTCTAGACAGAAGCATTCTCAGAAACTTCGTTGGGATGTTGCGATTGAAGTCCCAGTGTTGAACATTCCCTTTTATAGAGCAGGTTGGAAACACTCTTTCTGCATTCCCTGGAAGTGGACATTTGGAGCGCTTTCAGGACGACGGTGAAAATGGAAATATCTTCCAATAAAATCTAGATAGAAGCAACGTCAGAAACTTTTATGTGATGGATCTACTCAGCTAACAGAGTTGAACCTTTCTTTTGAGAGAGCAGTTTTGCAACACTCTTTTTGTGGAATATGCAAGTGGATATTAGGGCAGCTTTGAGGATTTCGTTGGAAACGGGAATACATGTAAAAAGCAGACAGCAGCATTCTCAGAAACTTCTTTGTGATGTTTGCATTGAAGTCACAGAGTTGAACATTCCCTTTGAGAGAGCAGGTTTGAAACACGCCTTTTGTCATATCTGGAAGTGTCCATTCGGAGCGCATTCAGGCTTGTGTTGAAAAAGGAAATATCCTCCCATAAAAACTAGACAGAAGCATTCTCAGAAACTTATCTGTGATGTATGTACTCAACTAACAGAACTAAACCATCGTTTTGAAGGAGCAGTTTTGAAACACTCTTTTTGCGGAATCTGCAAGTGGATATTTGGCTAGCTGGGAGGATTTCGTTGGAAACGGGATTACATACAAAAAGCAGACAGCAGCATTCTCAGAAACTTATTTGTGATGTGTGCCCTCAACTGACAGTGTTGAACCTTTGTTTTGATAGAGCAGTTCTGAAACACACTTTTTGTAAAATCTGCAAGAGGATATTTGGATAGCTTTGAGGATTTCGTTGGAAACGGGAATGTCTTCATGTAAACTCTACACAGAAGCATTCTCAGAAACTGCTTTGGGATGTTTCAATTGAAGTCCCAGTGTTGAACATTCCCTTTCATAGAGCAGGTTTGAAACACTCTTTTTGTAGTATCTGGATGAGGACATTTGGAGCGCTTTCAGGCGTATGGTGAAAAAGGAAATATCTTCCCGTAAAAACTAGACAGAAGCATTCTCAGAAGTTTATTTCTGATGTGTGCCCTCAACTAACAGAGTTGAACCTTTCTTTTGATAGAGCAGTTTTGAAACACTCTTTTTGTAAAATCTGCAAGAGGATATTTGGATAGCTTTGAGGATTTCGTTGCAAACGGAATGGCTTCATATAAACTCTAGACAGATGCATTCTCAGAAACTTCGTTGGGATGTTTCGATTGAAGTCCCAGTGTTGAACATTCCCTTTTATAGAGCAGGTTGGAAACACTCTTTAGGCATTCCCTGGAAGTGGCCAATTGGAGCGCATTCAGGACGACGGTGAAAATGGAAATATCTTCCAAGAAAATCTAGATAGAAGCAACGTCAGAAACTTTTATGTGATGGATCTACTCAGCTAACAGAGTTGAACCTTTCTTTTGAGAGAGCAGTTTTGCAACACTCTTTTTGTGGAATATGCAAGTGGATATTAAGGCAGCTTTGAGGATTTCGTTGGAAACGGGAATACATGTAAAAAGCAGACAGCAGCATTCTCAGAAACTTCTTTGTGATGTTTGCATTGAAGTCACAGAGTTGAACATTCCCTTTGAGAGAGCAGGTTTGAAACACGCCTTTTGTCATATCTGGAAGTGTCCATTCGGATCGCATTCAGGCTTGTGTTGAAAAAGGAAATATCCTCCCAGAAAAACTAGACAGAAGCATTCTCAGAAACTTATCTGTGATGTATGTACTCAACTAACAGAACTAAACCATCGTTTTGAAGGAGCAGTTTTGAAACACTCTTTTTGCGGAATCTGCAAGTGGATATTTGGCTAGCTGGGAGGATTTCGTTGGAAACGGGATTACATACAAAAAGCAGACAGCAGCATTCTCAGAAACTTATTTGTGATGTGTGCCCTCAACTGACAGTGTTGAACCTTTGTTTTGATAGAGCAGTTCTGAAACACACTTTTTGTAAAATCTGCAAGAGGATATTTGGATAGCTTTGAGGATTTCGTTGGAAACGGGAATGTCTTCATGTAAACTCTAGACAGAAGCATTCTCAGAAACTGCTTTGGGATGTTTCAATTGAAGTCCCAGTGTTGAACATTCCCATTCATAGAGCAGGTTTGAAACACTCTTTTTGTACTATCTGGAAGTGGACATTTGGAGCGCTTTCAGGTCTACGGTGAAAAAGGAGATATCTTCCAATAAAAACTAGATAGAAGCAATGTCAGAACTTTTTTCATGATGTATCTACTCAGCAAACAGAGTTGAACCTTTCTTTTGAGAGAGCAGTTTTGAAACACTCTTTTTGTGGAATATGCAAGTGGGTATTAGGCCAGCTTGGAGGATTTCGTTGGAAACGGGAATACGTATAAAAAGCAGACAGCAGCATTGTCAGAAACTACTTTGTGATGTTTGCATTCAAGTCACAGTAATTGAACACTCCCTTTCACAGAGCAGGTTTGAAACACTCTTTTTGTAGTGTCTGTAAGTGAACATTTGGATTGCTTTCAGGCCTAAGGTGAAAAAGGAAATATCTTCCCATAAAAACTAGACAGAAGCATTCTCAGAAACTTGTTTGTGATGTGTGCCCTCTACTGACAGAGTTGAACCTTTCTTTGCAAAGAGCAGTTTTGAAACACTCTTTTTGTAGAATCTGCAAGAGGATATTTGGATAGCTTTGAGGATTTCTTGGGAAACGGGAATGTCTTCAGATAAACTCTAGACAGAAGCATTCTCAGAAACTTCTTTGGGATGTTTCAATTGAAGTCAGTGTTGAACATTCCCTTTCACAGAGCAGGTTTGAAACACTCTTTTTGTAGTGTCTATAAGTGAACATTTGGCGTGCTTTCAGGCGTAACGTGAAAAAGGAAATATCTTCCCATAAAAACTAGACAGAAGCATTCTCAGAAACTTGTTCGTGATGTGTGCCCTCTACTGACAGAGTTGAACCTTTCTTTGCAAAGAGCAGCTTTGAAACACTCTTTTTGTAGAATCTGCAAGAGGATATTTGGATAGCTTTGAGGATTTCGTTGGAAACGGGTATGTCTTCAGATAAACTCTAGACAGAAGCATTCTCAGAAACTTCTTTGGGATGTTGCATTCAAGTCACAGAGTAGAACATTCCCATTCATAGAGCAGATTTGAAACACTCTTTTTGTAGTATCTGGAAGTGGACATTTGGAGCGCTTTCAGGCCTATGTTGAGAAACGAAATATCTTCCCATAAAAACTAGACGGAAGCATTCTCAGAAACTTACTTGTGATGTGTTTGCTCAACTAACAGAATTGAACCATCGTTTTGAAGGAGCAGTTTTGAAACACTGTTTTCGTAGAATCTGCAAGTGGATATTTGGCTAGCTTTGAGGATTTCGTTGGAAACGGGATTACATATAAAAAGGAGACAGCAGCATTCTCAGAAACTTCTTTGTGATGTCTGCATTCAAGTCACAGAGTTGAGCATTCCCTTTCATAGAGCAGGTTGGAAACACTCTTTTTGTAGTATCTGGATGAGGACATTTGGAGCGCTTTCAGGCCTATGGTGAAAAAGGAAATATCTTCCCGTAAAAACTAGACAGAAGCATTCTCAGAAATTTATTTGTGATGTGTGCCCTCAACTAACAGAGTTGAACCTTTCTTTTGATAGAGCAGTTTTGAAACACTCTTTTTGTAAAATCTGCAAGAGGATATTTGGATAGCTTTGAGGATTTCATTGCAAACGGGAATGGCTTCATATAAACTCTAGACAGAAGCATTCTCAGAAACTTCGTTGGGATGTTTCGATTGAAGTCCCAGTGTTGAACATTCCCTTTTATAGCGCAGGTTGGAAACACTCTTTTTGCATTCCCTGGAAGTGGACATTTGGAGCGCTTTCAGGACGACGGTGAAAATGGAAATATCTTCTAAGAAAATCTAGATAGAAGCAATGTCAGAAACTTTTATGTGATGGATCTACTCAGCTAACAGAGTTGAACCTTTCTTTTGAGAGAGCAGTTTTGCAACACTCTTTTTGTGGAATATGCAAGTGGATATTAGGGCAGCTTTGAGGATTTCGTTGGAAACGGGAATACATGTAAAAAGCAGACAGCAGCATTCTCAGAAACTTCTTTGTGATGTTTGCATTGAAGTCACAGAGTTGAACATTCCCTTTGAGAGAGCAGGTTTGAAACACGCCTTTTGTCATATCTGGAAGTGTCCATTCGGAGCGCATTCAGGCTTGTGTTGAAAAAGGAAATATCCTCCCATAAAAACTAGACAGAAGCATTCTCAGAAACTTATCTGTGATGTATGTACTCAACTAACAGAACTAAACCATCGTTTTGAAGGAGCAGTTTTGAAACACTCTTTTTGCGGAATCTGCAAGTGGATATTTGGCTAGCTGGGAGGATTTCGTTGGAAACGGGATTACATACAAAAAGCAGACAGCAGCATTCTCAGAAACTTATTTGTGATGTGTGCCCTCAACTGACAGTGTTGAACCTTTGTTTTGATAGAGCAGTTCTGAAACACACTTTTTGTAAAATCTGCAAGAGGATATTTGGATAGCTTTGAGGATTTCGTTGGAAACGGGAATGTCTTCATGTAAACTCTACACAGAAGCATTCTCAGAAACTGCTTTGGGATGTTTCAATTGAAGTCCCAGTGTTGAACATTCCCATTCATAGAGCAGGTTTGAAACACTCTTTTTGTACTATCTGGAAGTGGACATTTGGAGCGCTTTCAGGTCCTACGGTGAAAAAGGAGATATCTTCCAATAAAAACTAGATAGAAGCAATGTCAGAACTTTTTTCATGATGTATCTACTCAGCAAACAGAGTTGAACCTTTCTTTTGAGAGAGCAGTTTTGAAACACTCTTTTTGTGGAATATGCAAGTGGGTATTAGGCCAGCTTGGAGGATTTCGTTGGAAACGGGAATACGTATAAAAAGCAGACAGCAGCATTGTCAGAAACTACTTTGTGATGTTTGCATTCAAGTCACAGAATTGAACACTCCCTTTCACAGAGCAGGTTTGAAACACTCTTTTTGTAGTGTCTGTAAGTGAACATATGGATTGCTTTCAGGCCTAAGGTGAAAAAGGAAATATCTTCCCATAAAAACTAGACAGAAGCATTCTCAGAAACTTGTTTGTGATGTGTGCCCTCTACTGACAGAGTTGAACCTTTCTTTGCAAAGAGCAGTTTTGAAACACTCTTTTTGTAGAATCTGCAAGAGGATATTTGGATAGCTTTGAGGATTTCTTGGGAAACGGGAATGTCTTCAGATAAACTCTAGACAGAAGCATTCTCAGAAACTTCTTTGGGATGTTTCAATTGAAGTCAGTGTTGAACATTCCCTTTCACAGAGCAGGTTTGAAACACTCTTTTTGTAGTGTCTATAAGTGAACATTTGGCGTGCTTTCAGGCCTAACGTGAAAAAGGAAATATCTTCCCATAAAAACTAGACAGAAGCATTCTCAGAAACTTGTTCTTGATGTGTCCCCTCTACTGACAGAGTTGAACCTTTCTTTGCAAAGAGCAGCTTTGAAACACTCTTTTTGTAGAATCTGCAAGAGGATATTTGGATAGCTTGGAGGATTTCGTTGGAAACGGGTATGTCTTCAGATAAACTCTAGACAGAAGCATTCTCAGAAACTTCTTTGGGATGTTGCATTCAAGTCACAGAGTAGAACATTCCCATTCATAGAGCAGATTTGAAACACTCTTTTTGTAGTATCTGGAAGTGGACATTTGGAGCGCTTTCAGGCCTATGTTGAAAAAGGAAATATCTTCCCATAAAAACTACACGGAAGCATTCTCAGAAACTTATTTGTGATGTGTTTGCTCAACTAACAGGATTGAACCATCGTTTTGAAGGAGCAGTTTTGAAACACTGTTTTCGTGGAATCTGCAAGTGGATATTTGGCTAGCTTTGAGGATTTCTTTGGAAACGGGATTACATATAAAAAGGAGACAGCAGCATTCTCAGAAACTTCTTTGTGATGTCTGCATTCAATTCACAGAGTTGAGCATTCCCTTTCATAGAGCAGGTTGGAAACACTCTTTTTGTAGTATCTGGATGAGGACATTTGGAGCGCTTTCAGGCGTATGGTGAAAAAGGAAATATCTTCCCGTAAAAACTAGACAGAAGAATTCTCAGAAGTTTATTTGTGATGTGTGCCCTCAACTAACAGAGTTGAACCTTTCTTTTGATAGAGCAGTTTTGAAACACTCTTTTTGTAAAATCTGCAAGAGGATATTTGGATAGCTTTGAGGATTTCGTTGCAAACGGGAATGGCTTCATATAAACTCTAGACAGAAGCATTCTCAGAAACTTCGTTGGGATGTTTCGATTGAAGTCCCAGTGTTGAACATTCCCTTTTATAGAGCAGGTTGGAAACACTCTTTCTGCATTCCCTGGAAGTGGACATTTGGAGCGCTTTCAGGACGACGGTGAAAATGGAAATATCTTCCAAGAAAATCTAGATAGAAGCAATGTCAGAAACTTTTATGTGATGGATCTACTCAGCTAACAGAGTTGAACCTTTCTTTTGAGAGAGCAGTTTTGCAACACTCTTTTTGTGGAATATGCAAGTGGATATTAGGGCAGCTTTGAGGATTTCGTTGGAAACGGGAATACATGTAAAAAGCAGACAGCAGCATTCTCAGAAACTTCTTTGTGATGTTTGCATTGAAGTCACAGAGTTGAACATTCCCTTTGAGAGAGCAGGTTTGAAACACGCCTTTTGTCATATCTGGAAGTGTCCATTCGGAGCGCATTCAGGCTTGTGTTGAAAAAGGAAATATCCTCCCATAAAAACTAGACAGAAGCATTCTCAGAAACTTATCTGTGATGTATGTACTCAACTAACAGAACTAAACCATCGTTTTGAAGGAGCAGTTTTGAAACACTCTTTTTGCGGAATCTGCAAGTGGATATTTGGCTAGCTGGGAGGATTTCGTTGGAAACGGGATTACATACAAAAAGCAGACAGCAGCATTCTCAGAAACTTATTTGTGATGTGTGCCCTCAACTGACAGTGTTGAACCTTTGTTTTGATAGAGCAGTTCTGAAACACACTTTTTGTAAAATCTGCAAGAGGATATTTGGATAGCTTTGAGGATTTCGTTGGAAACGGGAATGTCTTCATGTAAACTCTAGACAGAAGCATTCTCAGAAACTGCTTTGGGATGTTTCAATTGAAGTCCCAGTGTTGAACATTCCCATTCATAGAGCAGGTTTGAAGCACTCTTTTTGTACTATCTGGAAGTGGACATTTGGAGCGCTTTCAGGTCTACGGTGAAAAAGGGGATATCTTCCAATAAAAACTAGATAGAAGCAATGTCAGAACTTTTTTCATGATGTATCTACTCAGCAAACAGAGTTGAACCTTTCTTTTGAGAGAGCAGTTTTGACACAGTCTTTGTGGAATATGTAATTGGGTATTAGGCCAGCTTGGAGGATTTCGTTGGAAACGGGAATACGTATAAAAAGCAGACAGCAGCATTGTCAGAAACTACTTTGTGATGTTTGCATTCAAGTCACAGAATTGAACACTCCCTTTCACAGAGCAGGTTTGAAACACTCTTTTTGTAGTGTCTGTAAGTGAACATTTGGATTGCTTTCAGGCCTAAGGTGAAAAAGGAAATATCTTCCCATAAAAACTAGACAGAAGCATTCTCAGAAACTTGTTTGTGATGTGTGCCCTCTACTGACAGAGTTGAACCTTTCTTTGCAAAGAGCAGTTTTGAAACACTCTTTTTGTAGAATCTGCAAGAGGATATTTGGATAGCTTTGAAGATTTCTTGGGAAACGGGAATGTCTTCAGATAAACTCTAGACAGAAGCATTCTCAGAAACTTCTTTGGGATGTTTCAATTGAAGTCACAGTGTTGAACATTCCCTTTCACAGAGCAGGTTTGAAACACTCTTTTTGTAGTGTGTATAAGTGAACATTTCACGTGCTTTCAGGCCTAACGTGAAAAAGGAAATATCTTCCCATAAAAACTAGACAGAAGCATTCTCAGAAACTTGTTCATGATGTGTGCCCTCTACTGACAGAGTTGAACCTTTCTTTGCAAAGAGCAGCTTTGAAACACTCTTTTTGTAGAATCTGCAAGAGGATATTTGGATAGCTTTGAGGATTTCGTTGGAAACGGGTATGTCTTCAGATAAACTCTAGACAGAAGCATTCTCAGAAACTTCTTTGGGATGTTGCATTCAAGTCACAGAGTAGAACATTCCCATTCATAGAGCAGATTTGAAACACTCTTTTTGTAGTATCTGGAAGTGGACATTTGGAGCGCTTTCAGGCCTATGTTGAAAAAGGAAATATCTTCCCATAAAAACTAGACGGAAGCATTCTCAGAAACTTATTTGTGATGTGTTTGCTCAACTAACAGGATTGAACCATCGTTTTGAAGGAGCAGTTTTGAAACACTGTTTTCGTGGAATCTGCAAGTGGATATTTGGCTAGCTTTGAGGATTTCGTTGGAAACGGGATTACATATAAAAAGGAGACAGCCAGCATTCTCAGTAAACTTCTTTGTGATGTCTGCATTCAATTCACAGCAGTTGAGCATTCCCTTTCATAGAGCAGGTTGGAAACACTCTTTTTGTAGTATCTGGATGAGGACATTTGGAGCGCTTTCAGGCGTATGGTGAAAAAGGAAATATCTTCCCGTAAAAACTAGACAGAAGCATTCTCAGAAATTTATTTGTGATGTGTGCCCTCAACTAACAGAGTTGAACCTTTCTTTTGATAGAGCAGTTTTGAAACACTCTTTTTGTAAAATCTGCAAGAGGATATTTGGATAGCTTTGAGGATTTCATTGCAAACGGGAATGGCTTCATATAAACTCTAGACAGAAGCATTCTCAGAAACTTCGTTGGGATGTTTCGATTGAAGTCCCAGTGTTGAACATTCCCTTTTATAGAGCAGGTTGGAAACACTCTTTCTGCATTCCCTGGAAGTGGACATTTGGAGCGCTTTCAGGACGACGGTGAAAATGGAAATATCTTCCAAGAAAATCTAGATAGAAGCAATGTCAGAAACTTTTATGTGATGGATCTACTCAGCTAACAGAGTTGAACCTTTCTTTTGAGAGAGCAGTTTTGCAACACTCTTTTTGTGGAATATGCAAGTGGATATTAGGGCAGCTTTGAGGATTTCGTTGGAAACGGGAATACATGTAAAAAGCAGACAGCAGCATTCTCAGAAACTTCTTTGTGATGTTTGCATTGAAGTCACAGAGTTGAACATTCCCTTTGAGAGAGCAGGTTTGAAACACGCCTTTTGTCATATCTGGAAGTGTCCATTCGGAGCGCATTCAGGCTTGTGTTGAAAAAGGAAATATCCTCCCAGAAAAACTAGACAGAAGCATTCTCAGAAACTTATCTGTGATGTATGTACTCAACTAACAGAACTAAACCATCGTTTTGAAGGAGCAGTTTTGAAACACTCTTTTTGCGGAATCTGCAAGTGGATATTTGGCTAGCTGGGAGGATTTCGTTGGAAACGGGATTACATACAAAAAGCAGACAGCAGCATTCTCAGAAACTTATTTGTGATGTGTGCCCTCAACTGACAGTGTTGAACCTTTGTTTTGATAGAGCAGTTCTGAAACACACTTTTTGTAAAATCTGCAAGAGGATATTTGGATAGCTTTGAGGATTTCGTTGGAAACGGGAATGTCTTCATGTAAACTCTAGACAGAAGCATTCTCAGAAACTGCTTTGGGATGTTTCAATTGAAGTCCCAGTGTTGAACATTCCCATTCATAGAGCAGGTTTGAAACACTCTTTTTGTACTATCTGGAAGTGGACATTTGGAGCGCTTTCAGGTCTACGGTGAAAAAGGAGATATCTTCCAATAAAAACTAGATAGAAGCAATGTCAGAACTTTTTTCATGATGTATCTACTCAGCAAACAGAGTTGAACCTTTCTTTTGAGAGAGCAGTTTTGAAACACTCTTTTTGTGGAATATGCAAGTGGGTATTAGGCCAGCTTGGAGGATTTCGTTGGAAACGGGAATACGTATAAAAAGCAGACAGCAGCATTGTCAGAAACTACTTTGTGATGTTTGCATTCAAGTCACAGAATTGAACACTCCCTTTCACAGAGCAGGTTTGAAACACTCTTTTTGTAGTGTCTGTAAGTGAACATATGGATTGCTTTCAGGCCTAAGGTGAAAAAGGAAATATCTTCCCATAAAAACTAGACAGAAGCATTCTCAGAAACTTGTTTGTGATGTGTGCCCTCTACTGACAGAGTTGAACCTTTCTTTGCAAAGAGCAGTTTTGAAACACTCTTTTTGTAGAATCTGCAAGAGGATATTTGGATAGCTTTGAGGATTTCTTGGGAAACGGGAATGTCTTCAGATAAACTCTAGACAGAAGCATTCTCAGAAACTTCTTTGGGATGTTTCAATTGAAGTCACAGTGTTGAACATTCCCTTTCACAGAGCAGGTTTGAAACACTCTTTTTGTAGTGTCTATAAGTGAACATTTGGCGTGCTTTCAGGCCTAACGTGAAAAAGGAAATATCTTCCCATAAAAACTAGACAGAAGCATTCTCAGAAACTTGTTTGTGATGTGTGCCCTCTACTGACAGAGTTGAACCTTTCTTTGCAAAGAGCAGCTTTGAAACACTCTTTTTGTAGAATCTGCAAGAGGATATTTGGATAGCTTTGAGGATTTCGTTGGAAACGGGTATGTCTTCAGATAAACTCTAGACACAAGCATTCTCAGAAACTTCGTTGGGATGTTTCGATTGAAGTCACAGTGTTGAACATTCCTTTTTATAGAGCAGGTTTGAAACACTCTTTTTGTAGTATCTGGAAGTGGACATTTGGAGCGCTTTCAGGACGACGGTGAAAATGGAAATATCTTCCAATAAAATCTAGATAGAAGCAATGTCAGAAACTTTTATGTGATGGATCTACTCAGCTAACAGAGTTGAACCTTTCTTTTGAGAGAGCAGTTTTGCAACACTCTTTTTGTGGAATATGCAAGTGGATATTAGGGCAGCTTTGAGGATTTCGTTGGAAACGGGAATACATGTAAAAAGCAGACAGCAGCATTCTCAGAAACTTCTTTGTGATGTTTGCATTGAAGTCACAGAGTTGAACATTCCCTTTGAGAGAGCAGGTTTGAAACACGCCTTTTGTCATATCTGGAAGTGTCCATTCGGAGCGCATTCAGGCTTGTGTTGAAAAAGGAAATATCCTCCCATAAAAACTAGACAGAAGCATTCTCAGAAACTTATCTGTGATGTATGTACTCAACTAACAGAACTAAACCATCGTTTTGAAGGAGCAGTTTTGAAACACTCTTTTTGCGGAATCTGCAAGTGGATATTTGGCTAGCTGGGAGGATTTCGTTGGAAACGGGATTACATACAAAAAGCAGACAGCAGCATTCTCAGAAACTTATTGGTGATGTGTGCCCTCAACTGACAGTGTTGAACCTTTGTTTTGATAGAGCAGTTCTGAAACACACTTTTTGTAAAATCTGCAAGAGGATATTTGGATAGCTTTGAGGATTTCGTTGGAAACGGGAATGTCTTCATGTAAACTCTACACAGAAGCATTCTCAGAAACTGCTTTGGGATGTTTCAATTGAAGTCCCAGTGTTGAACATTCCCTTTCATAGGAGCAGGTTTGAAACACTCTTTTTGTACTATCTGGAAGTGGACATTTGGAGCGCTTTCAGGTCTACGGTGAAAAAGGAGATATCTTCCAATAAAAACTAGATAGAAGCAATGTCAGAACTTTTTTCATGATGTATCTACTCAGCAAACAGAGTTGAACCTTTCTTTTGAGAGAGCAGTTTTGAAACACTCTTTTTGTGGAATATGCAAGTGGGTATTAGGCCAGCTTGGAGGATTTCGTTGGAAACGGGAATACGTATAAAAAGCAGACAGCAGCATTGTCAGAAACTACTTTGTGATGTTTGCATTCAAGTCACAGAACTGAACACTCCCTTTCACAGAGCAGGTTTGAAACACTCTTTTTGTAGTGTCTGTAAGTGAACATTTGGATTGCTTTCAGGCCTAAGGTGAAAAAGGAAATATCTTCCCATAAAAACTAGACAGAAGCATTCTCAGAAACTTGTTTGTGATGTGTGCCCTCTACTGACAGAGTTGAACCTTTCTTTGCAAAGAGCAGTTTTGAAACACTCTTTTTGTAGAATCTGCAAGAGGATATTTGGATAGCTTTGAGGATTTCTTGGGAAACGGGAATGTCTTCAGATAAACTCTAGACAGAAGCATTCTCAGAAACTTCTTTGGGATGTTTCAATTGAAGTCACAGTGTTGAACATTCCCTTTCACAGAGCAGGTTTGAAACACTCTTTTTGTAGTGTCTATAAGTGAACATTTGGCGTGCTTTCAGGCGTAACGTGAAAAAGGAAATATCTTCCCATAAAAACCAGACAGAAGCATTCTCAGAAACTTGTTCGTGATGTGTGCCCTCTACTGACAGAGTTGAACCTTTCTTTGCAAAGAGCAGCTTTGAAACACACATTTGTAGAATCTGCAAGAGGATATTTGGATAGCTTGGAGGATTTCGTTGGAAACGGGTATGTCTTCAGATAAACTCTAGACAGAAGCATTCTCAGAAACTTCTTTGGGATGTTGCATTCAAGTCACAGAGTAGAACATTCCCATTCATAGAGCAGATTTGAAACACTCTTTTTGTAGTATCTGGAAGTGGACATTTGGAGCGCTTTCAGGCCTATGTTGAAAAAGGAAATATCTTCCCATAAAAACTAGACGGAAGCATTCTCAGAAACTTATTTGTGATGTGTTTGCTCAACTAACAGGATTGAACCATCGTTTTGAAGGAGCAGTTTTGAAACACTGTTTTCGTGGAATCTGCAAGTGGATATTTGGCTAGCTTTGAGGATTTCGTTGGAAACGGGATTACATATAAAAAGGAGACAGCAGCATTCTCAGAAACTTCTTTGTGATGTCTGCATTCAAGTCACAGAGTTGAGCATTCCCTTTCATAGAGCAGGTTGGAAACACTCTTTTTGTAGTATCTGGATGAGGACATTTGGAGCGCTTTCAGGCGTATGGTGAAAAAGGAAATATCTTCCCGTAAAAACTAGACAGAAGCATTCTCAGAAATTTATTTGTGATGTGTGCCCTCAACTAACAGAGTTGAACCTTTCTTTTGATAGAGCAGTTTTGAAACACTCTTTTTGTAAAATCTGCAAGAGGATATTTGGATAGCTTTGAGGATTTCGTTGCAAACGGGAATGGCTTCATATAAACTCTAGACAGAAGCATTCTCAGAAACCTCGTTGGGATGTTTCGATTGAAGTCCCAGTGTTGAACATTCCCTTTTATAGAGCAGGTTGGAAACACTCTTTCTGCATTCCCTGGAAGTGGACATTTGGAGCGCTTTCAGGACGACGGTGAAAATGGAAATATCTTCCAAGAAAATCTAGATAGAAGCAATGTCAGAAACTTTTCTGTGATGGATCTACTCAGCTAACAGAGTTGAACCTTTCTTTTGAGAGAGCAGTTTTGCAACACTCTTTTTGTGGAATATGCAAGTGGATATTAGGGCAGCTTTGAGGATTTCGTTGGAAACGGGAATACATGTAAAAAGCAGACAGCAGCATTCTCAGAAACTTCTTTGTGATGTTTGCATTGAAGTCACAGAGTTGAACATTCCCTTTGAGAGAGCAGGTTTGAAACACGCCTTTTGTCATATCTGGAAGTGTCCATTCGGAGCGCATTCAGGCTTGTGTTGAAAAAGGAAATATCCTCCCATAAAAACTAGACAGAAGCATTCTCAGAAACTTATCTGTGATGTATGTACTCAACTAACAGAACTAAACCATCGTTTTGAAGGAGCAGTTTTGAAACACTCTTTTTGCGGAATCTGCAAGTGGATATTTGGCTAGCTGGGAGGATTTCGTTGGAAACGGGATTACATACAAAAAGCAGACAGCAGCATTCTCAGAAACTTATTTGTGATGTGTGCCCTCAACTGACAGTGTTGAACCTTTGTTTTGATAGAGCAGTTCTGAAACACACTTTTTGTAAAATCTGCAAGAGGATATTTGGATAGCTTTGAGGATTTCGTTGGAAACGGGAATGTCTTCATGTAAACTCTAGACAGAAGCATTCTCAGAAACTGCTTTGGGATGTTTCAATTGAAGTCCCAGTGTTGAACATTCCCTTTCATAGAGCAGGTTTGAAACACTCTTTTTGTACTATCTGGAAGTGGACATTTGGAGCGCTTTCAGGTCTACGGTGAAAAAGGAGATATCTTCCAATAAAAACTAGATAGAAGCAATGTCAGAACTTTTTTCATGATGTATCTACTCAGCTAACAGAGTTGAACCTTTCTTTTGAGAGAGCAGTTTTGAAACACTCTTTTTGTGGAATATGCAAGTGGGTATTAGGCCAGCTTGGAGGATTTCGTTGGAAACGGGAATACGTATAAAAAGCAGACAGCAGCATTGTCAGAAACTACTTTGTGATGTTTGCATGCAAGTCACAGAATGGAACACTGCCTTTCACAGAGCAGGTTTGAAACACTCTTTTTGTAGTGTCTGTAAGTGAACATTTGGATTGCTTTCAGGCCTAAGGTGAAAAAGGAAATATCTTCCCATAAAAACTAGACAGAAGCATTCTCAGAAACTTGTTTGTGATGTGTGCCCTCTACTGACAGAGTTGAACCTTTCTTTGCAAAGAGCAGTTTTGAAACACTCTTTTTGTAGAATCTGCAAGAGGATATTTGGATAGCTTTGAGGATTTCTTGGGAAACGGGAATGTCTTCAGATAAACTCTAGACAGAAGCATTCTCAGAAACTTCTTTGGGATGTTTCAATTGAAGTCACAGTGTTGAACATTCCCTTTCACAGAGCAGGTTTGAAACACTCTTTTTGTAGTGTCTATAAGTGAACATTTGGCGTGCTTTCAGGCCTAACGTGAAAAAGGAAATATCTTCCCATAAAAACTAGACAGAAGCATTCTCAGAAACTTGTTCTTGATGTGTCCCCTCTACTGACAGAGTTGAACCTTTCTTTGCAAAGAGCAGCTTTGAAACACTCTTTTTGTAGAATCTGCAAGAGGATATTTGGATAGCTTGGAGGATTTCGTTAGAAACGGGTATGTCTTCAGATAAACTCTAGACAGAAGCATTCTCAGAAACTTCTTTGGGATGTTGCATTCAAGTCACAGAGTAGAACATTCCCATTCATAGAGCAGATTTGAAACACTCTTTTTGTAGTATCTGGAAGTGGACATTTGGAGCGCTTTCAGGCCTATGTTGAAAAAGGAAATATCTTCCCATAAAAACTAGACGGAAGCATTCTCAGAAACTTATTTGTGATGTGTTTGCTCAACTAACAGGATTGAACCATCGTTTTGAAGGAGCAGTTTTGAAACACTGTTTTCGTGGAATCTGCAAGTGGATATTTGGCTAGCTTTGAGGATTTCGTTGGAAACGGGATTACATATAAAAAGGAGACAGCAGCATTCTCAGAAACTTCTTTGTGATGTTTGCATTCAAGTCACAGAGTTGAACATTCCCTTTCATAGAGCAGGTTTGAAACACTCTTTTTGTAGTATCTGGATGTGGACATTTGGATCGCTTTCAGGCCTATGGTGAAAAAGGAAATATCTTCCCATGAAAACTAGACAGAAGCATTCTCAGAAACTTATTTGTGATGTGTGCCCTCAACTGACAGTGTTGAACCTTTGTTTTGATAGAGCAGTTCTGAAACACACTTTTTGTAAAATCTGCAAGAGGATATTTGGATAGCTTTGAGGATTTCATTGGAAACGGGAATGTCTTCATGTAAACTCTAGACAGAAGCATTCTCAGAAACTGCTTTGGGATGTTTCAATTGAAGTCCCAGTGTTGAACATTCCCTTTCATAGAGCAGGTTTGAAACACTCTTTTTGTACTATCTGGAAGTGGACATTTGGAGCGCTTTCAGGTCTACGGTGAAAAAGGAGATATCTTCCAATAAAAACTAGATAGAAGCAATGTCAGAACTTTTTTCATGATGTATCTACTCAGCAAACAGAGTTGAACCTTTCTTTTGGGAGAGCAGTTTTGAAACACTCTTTTTGTGGAATATGCAAGTGGGTATTAGGCCAGCTTGGAGGATTTCGTTGGAAACGGGAATACGTATAAAAAGCAGTCAGCAGCATTGTCAGAAACTACTTTGTGATGTTTGCATTCAAGTCACAGAATTGAACACTCCCTTTCACAGAGCAGGTTTGAAACACTCTTTTTGTAGTGTCTGTAAGTGAACATTTGGATTGCTTTCAGGCCTAAGGTGAAAAAGGAAATATCTTCCCATAAAAACTAGACAGAAGCATTCTCAGAAACTTGTTTGTGATGTGTGCCCTCTACTGTCAGAGTTGAACCTTTCTTTGCAAAGAGCAGTTTTGAAACACTCTTTTTGTAGAATCTGCAAGAGGATATTTGGATAGCTTTGAAGATTTCTTGGGAAACGGGAATGTCTTCAGATAAACTCTAGACAGAAGCATTCTCAGAAACTTCTTTGGGATGTTTCAATTGAAGTCACAGTGTTGAACATTCCCTTTCACAGAGCAGGTTTGAAACACTCTTTTTGTAGTGTCTATAAGTGAACATTTGGCGTGCTTTCAGGCCTAACGTGAAAAAGGAAATATCTTCCCATAAAAACTAGACAGAAGCATTCTCAGAAACTTGTTCATGATGTGTGCCCTCTACTGACAGAGTTGAACCTTTCTTTGCAAAGAGCAGCTTTGAAACACTCTTTTTGTAGAATCTGCAAGAGGATATTTGGATAGCTTTGAGGATTTCGTTGGAAACGGGTATGTCTTCAGATAAACTCTAGACAGAAGCATTCTCAGAAACTTCTTTGGGATGTTGCATTCAAGTCACAGAGTAGAACATTCCCATTCATAGAGCAGATTTGAAACACTCTTTTTGTAGTATCTGGAAGTGGACATTTGGAGCGCTTTCAGGCCTATGTTGAAAAAGGAAATATCTTCCCATAAAAACTAGACGGAAGCATTCTCAGAAACTTATTTGTGATGTGTTTGCTCAACTAACAGGATTGAACCATCGTTTTGAAGGAGCAGTTTTGAAACACTGTTTTCGTGGAATCTGCAAGTGGATATTTGGCTAGCTTTGAGGATTTCGTTGGAAACGGGATTACATATAAAAAGGAGACAGCAGCATTCTCAGAAACTTCTTTGTGATGTTTGCATTCAAGTCACAGAGTTGAACATTCCCTTTCATAGAGCAGGTTTGAAACACTCTTTTTGTAGTATCTGGATGTGGACATTTGGATCGCTTTCAGGCCTATGGTGAAAAAGGAAATATCTTCCCATGAAAACTAGACAGAAGCATTCTCAGAAACTTATTTGTGATGTGTGCCCTCAACTGACAGTGTGGAACCTTTGTTTTGATAGAGCAGTTCTGAAACACACTTTTTGTAAAATCTGCAAGAGGATATTTGGATAGCTTTGAGGATTTCGTTGGAAACGGGAATGTCTTCATGTAAACTCTAGACAGAAGCATTCTCAGAAACTGCTTTGGGATGTTTCAATTGAAGTCCCAGTGTTGAACATTCCCTTTCATAGAGCAGGTTTGAAACACTCTTTTTGTACTATCTGGAAGTGGACATTTGGAGCGCTTTCAGGTCTACGGTGAAAAAGGAGATATCTTCCAATAAAAACTAGATAGAAGCAATGTCAGAACTTTTTTCATGATGTATCTACTCAGCAAACAGAGTTGAACCTTTCTTTTGAGAGAGCAGTTTTGAAACACTCTTTTTGTGGAATATGCAAGTGGGTATTAGGCCAGCTTGGAGGATTTCGTTGGAAACGGGAATACGTATAAAAAGCAGACAGCAGCATTGTCAGAAACTACTTTGTGATGTTTGCATTCAAGTCACAGAATTGAACACTCCCTTTCACAGAGCAGGTTTGAAACACTCTTTTTGTAGTGTCTGTAAGTGAACATATGGATTGCTTTCAGGCCTAAGGTGAAAAAGGAAATATCTTCCCATAAAAACTAAACTAGACAGAAGCATTCTCAGAAACTTGTTTGTGATGTGTGCCCTCTACTGACAGAGTTGAACCTTTCTTTGCAAAGAGCAGCTTTGAAACACTCTTTTTGTAGAATCTGCAAGAGGATATGTGGATAGCTTTGAGGATTTCGTTGGAAACGGGAATGTCTTCAGATAAACTCTAGACAGAAGCATTCTCAGAAACTTCTTTGGGATGTTTCAATTGAAGTCACAGTGTTGAACATTCCCTTTCACAGAGCAGGTTTGAAACACTCTTTTTGTAGTGTCTATAAGTGAACATTTGGCGTGCTTTCAGGCCTAACGTGAAAAAGGAAATATCTTCCCATAAAAACTAGACAGAAGCATTCTCAGAAACTTGTTCATGATGTGTGCCCTCTACTGACAGAGTTGAACCTTTCTTTGCAAAGAGCAGCTTTGAAACACTCTTTTTGTAGAATCTGCAAGAGGATATTTGGATAGCTTTGAGGATTTCGTTGGAAACGGGTATGTCTTCAGATAAACTCTAGACAGAAGCATTCTCAGAAACTTCTTTGGGATGTTGCATTCAAGTCACAGAGTAGAACATTCCCATTCATAGAGCAGATTTGAAACACTCTTTTTGTAGTATCTGGAAGTGGACATTTGGAGCGCTTTCAGGCCTATGTTGAAAAAGGAAATATCTTCCCATAAAAACTAGACGGAAGCATTCTCAGAAACTTACTTGTGATGTGTTTGCTCAACTAACAGAATTGAACCATCGTTTTGAAGGAGCAGTTTTGAAACACTGTTTTCGTGGAATCTGCAAGTGGATATTTGGCTAGCTTTGAGGATTTCGTTGGAAACGGGATTACATATAAAAAGGAGACAGCAGCATTCTCAGAAACTTCTTTGTGATGTTTGCATTCAAGTCACAGAGTTGAACATTCCCTTTCATAGAGCAGGTTTGAAACACTCTTTTTGTAGTATCTGGATGTGGACATTTGGATCGCTTTCAGGCCTATGGTGAAAAAGGAAATATCTTCCCATGAAAACTAGACAGAAGCATTCTCAGAAACTTATTTGTGATGTGTGCCCTCAACTGACAGTGTTGAACCTTTGTTTTGATAGAGCAGTTCTGAAACACACTTTTTGTAAAATCTGCAAGAGGATATTTGGATAGCTCTGAGGATTTCGTTGGAAACGGGAATGTCTTCATGTAAACTCTAGACAGAAGCATTCTCAGAAACTGCTTTGGGATGTTTCAATTGAAGTCCCAGTGTTGAACATTCCCATTCATAGAGCAGGTTTGAAACACTCTTTTTGTACTATCTGGAAGTGGACATTTGGAGCGCTTTCAGGTCTACGGTGAAAAAGGAGATATCTTCCAATAAAAACTAGATAGAAGCAATGTCAGAACTTTTTTCATGATGTATCTACTCAGCAAACAGAGTTGAACCTTTCTTTTGAGAGAGCAGTTTTGAAACACTCTTTTTGTGGAATATGCAAGTGGGTATTAGGCCAGCTTGGAGGATTTCGTTGGAAACGGGAATACGTATAAAAAGCAGACAGCAGCATTGTCAGAAACTACTTTGTGATGTTTGCATTCAAGTCACAGAATTGAACACTCCCTTTCACAGAGCAGGTTTGAAAACACTCTTTTTGTAGTGTCTGTAAGTGAACATATGGATTGCTTTCAGGCCTAAGGTGAAAAAGGAAATATCTTCCCATAAAAACTAGACAGAAGCATTCTCAGAAACTTGTTTGTGATATGTGCCCTCTACTGACAGAGTTGAGCCTTTCTTTGCAAAGAGCAGTTTTGAAACACTCTTTTTGTAGAATCTGCAAGAGGATATTTGGATAGCTTTGAGGATTTCTTGGGAAACGGGAATGTCTTCAGATAAACTCTAGACAGAAGCATTCTCAGAAACTTCTTTGGGATGTTTCAATTGAAGTCACAGTGTTGAACATTCCCTTTCACAGAGTAGGTTTGAAACACTCTTTTTGTAGTGTCTATAAGTGAACATTTGGCGTGCTTTCAGGCCTAACGTGAAAAAGGAAATATCTTCCCATAAAAACTAGACAGAAGCATTCTCAGAAACTTGTTCGTGATGTGTGCCCTCTACTGACAGAGTTGAACCTTTCTTTGCAAAGAGCAGCTTTGAAACACTCTTTTTGTAGAATCTGCAAGAGGATATTTGGATAGCTTTGAGGATTTCGTTGGAAACGGGTATGTCTTCAGATAAACTCTAGACAGAAGCATTCTCAGAAACTTCTTTGGGATGTTGCATTCAAGTCACAGAGTAGAACATTCCCATTCATAGAGCAGATTTGAAACACTCTTTTTGTAGTATCTGGAAGTGGACATTTGGAGCGCTTTCAGGCCTATGTTGAAAAAGGAAATATCTTCCCATAAAAACTAGACGGAAGCATTCTCAGAAACTTATTTGTGATGTGTTTGCTCAACTAACAGGATTGAACCATCGTTTTGAAGGAGCAGTTTTGAAACACTGTTTTCGTGGAATCTGCAAGTGGATATTTGGCTAGCTTTGAGGATTTCGTTGGAAACGGGATTACATATACAAAGGAGACAGCAGCATTCTCAGAAACTTCTTTGTGATGTCTGCATTCAATTCACAGAGTTGAGCATTCCCTTTCATAGAGCAGGTTGGAAACACTCTTTTTGTAGTATCTGGATGAGGACATTTGGAGCGCTTTCAGGCGTATGGTGAAAAAGGAAATATCTTCCCGTAAAAACTAGACAGAAGCATTCTCAGAAGTTTATTTGTGATGTGTGCCCTCAACTAACAGAGTTGAACCTTTCTTTTGATAGAGCAGTTTTGAAACACTCTTTTTGTAAAATCTGCAAGAGGATATTTGGATAGCTTTGAGGATTTCGTTGCAAACGGGAATGGCTTCATATAAACTAGACAGAAGCATTCTCAGAAACTTCGTTGGGATGTTTCGATTGAAGTCCCAGTGTTGAACATTCCCTTTTATAGAGCAGGTTGGAAACACTCTTTCTGCATTCCCTGGAAGTGGACATTTGGAGCGCTTTCAGGACGACGGTGAAAATGGAAATATCTTCCAAGAAAATCTAGATAGAAGCAACGTCAGAAACTTTTCTGTGATGGATCTACTCAGCTAACAGAGTTGAACCTTTCTTTTGAGAGAGCAGTTTTGCAACACTCTTTTTGTGGAATATGCAAGTGGATATTAGGGCAGCTTTGAGGATTTCGTTGGAAACGGGAATACATGTAAAAAGCAGACAGCAGCATTCTCAGAAACTTCTTTGTGATGTTTGCATTGAAGTCACAGAGTTGAACATTCCCTTTGAGAGAGCAGGTTTGAAACACGCCTTTTGTCATATCTGGAAGTGTCCATTCGGAGCGCATTCAGGCTTGTGTTGAAAAAGGAAATATCCTCCCATAAAAACTAGACAGAAGCATTCTCAGAAACTTATCTGTGATGTATGTACTCAACTAACAGAACTAAACCATCGTTTTGAAGGAGCAGTTTTGAAACACTCTTTTTGCGGAATCTGCAAGTGGATATTTGGCTAGCTGGGAGGATTTCGTTGGAAACGGGATTACATACAAAAAGCAGACAGCAGCATTCTCAGAAACTTATTTGTGATGTGTGCCCTCAACTGACAGTGTTGAACCTTTGTTTTGATAGAGCAGTTCTGAAACACACTTTTTGTAAAATCTGCAAGAGGATATTTGGATAGCTTTGAGGATTTCGTTGGAAACGGGAATGTCTTCATGTAAACTCTAGACAGAAGCATTCTCAGAAACTGCTTTGGGATGTTTCAATTGAAGTCCCAGTGTTGAACATTCCCATTCATAGAGCAGGTTTGAAACACTCTTTTTGTACTATCTGGAAGTGGACATTTGGAGCGCTTTCAGGTCTACGGTGAAAAAGGAGATATCTTCCAATAAAAACTAGATAGAAGCAATGTCAGAACTTTTTTCATGATGTATCTACTCAGCAAACAGAGTTGAACCTTTCTTTTGAGGGAGCAGTTTTGAAACACTATTTTTGTGGAATATGCAAGTGGGTATTAGGCCAGCTTGGAGGATTTCGTTGGAAACGGGAATACGTATAAAAAGCAGACAGCAGCATTGTCAGAAACTACTTTGTGATATTTGCATTCAAGTCACAGAATTGAACACTCCCTTTCACAGAGCAGGTTTGAAACACTCTTTTTGTAGTGTCTGTAAGTGAACATTTGGATTGCTTTCAGGCCTAAGGTGAAAAAGGAAATATCTTCCCATAAAAACTAGACAGAAGCATTCTCAGAAACTTGTTTGTGATGTGTGCCCTCTACTGACAGAGTTGAACCTTTCTTTGCAAAGAGCAGTTTTGAAACACTCTTTTTGTAGAATCTGCAAGAGGATATTTGGATAGCTTTGAGGATTTCTTGGGAAACGGGAATGTCTTCAGATAAACTCTAGACAGAAGCATTCTCAGAAACTTCTTTGGGATGTTTCAATTGAAGTCACAGTGTTGAACATTCCCTTTCACAGAGCAGGTTTGAAACACTCTTTTTGTAGTGTCTATAATTGAACATTTGGCGTGCTTTCAGGCCTAACGTGAAAAAGGAAATATCTTCCCATAAAAACTAGACAGAAGCATTCTCAGAAACTTGTTCGTGATGTGTGCCCTCTACTGACAGAGTTGAACCTTTCTTTGCAAAGAGCAGCTTTGAAACACTCTTTTTGTAGAATCTGCAAGAGGATATGTGGATAGCTTTGAGGATTTCGTTGGAAACGGGTATGTCTTCACATAAACTCTAGACGGAAGCATACTCAGAAACTTCTTTGGGACGTTTCAATTGAAGTCACAGTGTTGAACATTCCCTTTCACAGAGCAGGTTTGAAACACTCTTTTTGTAGTGTCTATAAGTGAACATTTGGCGTGCTTTCAGGCCTAACGTGAAAAAGGAAATATCTTCCCATAAAAACTAGACAGAAGCATTCTCAGAAACTTGTTCATGATGTGTGCCCTCTACTGACAGAGTTGAACCTTTCTTTGCAAAGAGCAGCTTTGAAACACTCTTTTTGTAGAATCTGCAAGAGGATATTTGGATAGCTTTGAGGATTTCGTTGGAAACGGGTATGTCTTCAGATAAACTCTAGACAGAAGCATTCTCAGAAACTTCTTTGGGATGTTGCATTCAAGTCACAGAGTAGAACATTCCCATTCATAGAGCAGATTTGAAACACTCTTTTTGTAGTATCTGGAAGTGGACATTTGGAGCGCTTTCAGGCCTATGTTGAAAAAGGAAATATCTTCCCATAAAAACTAGACGGAAGCATTCTCAGAAACTTACTTGTGATGTGTTTGCTCAACTAACAGAATTGAACCATCGTTTTGAAGGAGCAGTTTTGAAACACTGTTTTCGTGGAATCTGCAAGTGGATATTTGGCTAGCTTTGAGGATTTCGTTGGAAACGGGATTACATATAAAAAGGAGACAGCAGCATTCTCAGAAACTTCTTTGTGATGTTTGCATTCAAGTCACAGAGTTGAACATTCCCTTTCATAGAGCAGGTTTGAAACACTCTTTTTGTAGTATCTGGATGTGGACATTTGGATCGCTTTCAGGCCTATGGTGAAAAAGGAAATATCTTCCCATGAAAACTAGACAGAAGCATTCTCAGAAACTTATTTGTGATGTGTGCCCTCAACTGACAGTGTTGAACCTTTGTTTTGATAGAGCAGTTCTGAAACACACTTTTTGTAAAATCTGCAAGAGGATATTTGGATAGATTTGAGGATTTCGTTGGAAACGGGAATGTCTTCATGTAAACTCTACACAGAAGCATTCTCAGAAACTGCTTTGGGATGTTTCAATTGAAGTCCCAGTGTTGAACATTCCCTTTCATAGAGCAGGTTTGAAACACTCTTTTTGTACTATCTGGAAGTGGACATTTGGAGCGCTTTCAGGTCTACGGTGAAAAAGGAGATATCTTCCAATAAAAACTAGATAGAAGCAATGTCAGAACTTTTTTCATGATGTATCTACTCAGCAAACAGAGTTGAACCTTTCTTTTGAGAGAGCAGTTTTGAAACACTCTTTTTGTGGAATATGCAAGTGGGTATTAGGCCAGCTTGGAGGATTTCGTTGGAAACGGGAATAAGTATAAAAAGCAGACAGCAGCATTGTCAGAAACTACTTTGTGATATTTGCATTCAAGTCACAGAATTGAACACTCCCTTTCACAGAGCAGGTTTGAAACACTCTTTTTGTAGTGTCTGTAAGTGAACATATGGATTGCTTTCAGGCCTAAGGTGAAAAAGGAAATATCTTCCCATAAAAACTAGACAGAAGCATTCTCAGAAACTTGTTTGTGATGTGTGCCCTCTACTGTCAGAGTTGAACCTTTCTTTGCAAAGAGCAGTTTTGAAACACTCTTTTTGTAGAATCTGCAAGAGGATATTTGGATAGCTTTGAAGATTTCTTGGGAAACGGGAATGTCTTCAGATAAACTCTAGACAGAAGCATTCTCAGAAACTTCTTTGGGATGTTTCAATTGAAGTCACAGTGTTGAACATTCCCTTTCACAGAGCAGGTTTGAAACACTCTTTTTGTAGTGTCTATAAGTGAACATTTGGCGTGCTTTCAGGCCTAACGTGAAAAAGGAAATATCTTCCCATAAAAACTAGACAGAAGCATTCTCAGAAACTTGTTTGTGATGTGTGCCCTCTACTGACAGAGTTGAACCTTTCTTTGCAAAGAGCAGCTTTGAAACACTCTTTTTGTAGAATCTGCAAGAGGATATTTGGATAGCTTTGAGGATTTCGTTGGAAACGGGTATGTCTTCAGATAAACTCTAGACAGAAGCATTCTCAGAAACTTCTTTGGGATGTTGCATTCAAGTCACAGAGTAGAACATTCCCATTCATAGAGCAGATTTGAAACACTCTTTTTGTAGTATCTGGAAGTGGACATTTGGAGCGCTTTCAGGCCTATGTTGAAAAAGGAAATATCTTCCCATAAAAACTAGACGGAAGCATTCTCAGAAACTTATTTGTGATGTGTTTGCTCAACTAACAGGATTGAACCATCGTTTTGAAGGAGCAGTTTTGAAACACTGTTTTCGTGGAATCTGCAAGTGGATATTTGGCTAGCTTTGAGGATTTCGTTGGAAACGGGATTACATATAAAAAGGAGACAGCAGCATTCTCAGAAACTTCTTTGTGATGTCTGCATTCAATTCACAGAGTTGAGCATTCCCTTTCATAGAGCAGGTTGGAAACACTCTTTTTGTAGTATCTGGATGAGGACATTTGGAGCGCTTTCAGGCGTATGGTGAAAAAGGAAATATCTTCCCGTAAAAACTAGACAGAAGCATTCTCAGAAATTTATTTGTGATGTGTGCCCTCAACTAACAGAGTTGAACCTTTCTTTTGATAGAGCAGTTTTGAAACACTCTTTTTGTAAAATCTGCAAGAGGATATTTGGATAGCTTTGAGGATTTCATTGCAAACGGGAATGGCTTCATATAAACTCTAGACAGAAGCATTCTCAGAAACTTCGTTGGGATGTTTCGATTGAAGTCCCAGTGTTGAACATTCCCTTTTATAGAGCAGGTTGGAAACACTCTTTCTGCATTCCCTGGAAGTGGACATTTGGAGCGCTTTCAGGACGACGGTGAAAATGGAAATATCTTCCAAGAAAATCTAGATAGAAGCAACGTCAGAAACTTTTCTGTGATGGATCTACTCAGCTAACAGAGTTGAACCTTTCTTTTGAGAGAGCAGTTTTGCAACACTCTTTTTGTGGAATATGCAAGTGGATATTAGGGCAGCTTTGAGGATTTCGTTGGAAACGGGAATACATGTAAAAAGCAGACAGCAGCATTCTCAGAAACTTCTTTGTGATGTTTGCATTGAAGTCACAGAGTTGAACATTCCCTTTGAGAGAGCAGGTTTGAAACACGCCTTTTGTCATATCTGGAAGTGTCCATTCGGAGCGCATTCAGGCTTGTGTTGAAAAAGGAAATATCCTCCCATAAAAACTAGACAGAAGCATTCTCAGAAACTTATCTGTGATGTATGTACTCAACTAACAGAACTAAACCATCGTTTTGAAGGAGCAGTTTTGAAACACTCTTTTTGCGGAATCTGCAAGTGGATATTTGGCTAGCTGGGAGGATTTCGTTGGAAACGGGATTACATACAAAAAGCAGACAGCAGCATTCTCAGAAACTTATTTGTGATGTGTGCACTCAACTGACAGTGTTGAACCTTTGTTTTGATAGAGCAGTTCTGAAACACACTTTTTGTAAAATCTGCAAGAGGATATTTGGATAGCTTTGAGGATTTCGTTGGAAACGGGAATGTCTTCATGTAAACTCTAGACAGAAGCATTCTCAGAAACTGCTTTGGGATGTTTCAATTGAAGTCCCAGTGTTGAACATTCCCTTTCATAGAGCAGGTTTGAAACACTCTTTTTGTACTATCTGGAAGTGGACATTTGGAGCGCTTTCAGGTCTACGGTGAAAAAGGAGATATCTTCCAATAAAAACTA
The DNA here is from genome assembly GCF_000001405.40 of Homo sapiens. Taxonomy (NCBI): domain Eukaryota; kingdom Metazoa; phylum Chordata; class Mammalia; order Primates; family Hominidae; genus Homo; species Homo sapiens. Next base: position 28,315,507 of record NC_000020.11, read on the forward strand.
GATAGAAGCAATGTCAGAACTTTTTTCATGATGTATCTACTCAGCAAACAGAGTTGAACCTTTCTTTTGAGAGAGCAGTTTTGAAACACTCTTTTTGTGGAATATGCAAGTGGGTATTAGGCCAGCTTGGAGGATTTCGTTGGAAACGGGAATACGTATAAAAAGCAGACAGCAGCATTGTCAGAAACTACTTTGTGATGTTTGCATTCAAGTCACAGAATTGAACACTCCCTTTCACAGAGCAGGTTTGAAACACTCTTTTTGTAGTGTCTGTAAGTGAACATATGGATTGCTTTCAGGCCTAAGGTGAAAAAGGAAATATCTTCCCATAAAAACTAGACAGAAGCATTCTCAGAAACTTGTTTGTGATGTGTGCCCTCTACTGACAGAGTTGAACCTTTCTTTGCAAAGAGCAGTTTTGAAACACTCTTTTTGTAGAATCTGCAAGAGGATATTTGGATAGCTTTGAGGATTTCTTGGGAAACGGGAATGTCTTCAGATAAACTCTAGACAGAAGCATTCTCAGAAACTTCTTTGGGATGTTTCAATTGAAGTCACAGTGTTGAACATTCCCTTTCACAGAGCAGGTTTGAAACACTCTTTTTGTAGTGTCTATAAGTGAACATTTGGCGTGCTTTCAGGCCTAACGTGAAAAAGGAAATATCTTCCCATAAAAACTAGACAGAAGCATTCTCAGAAACTTGTTCGTGATGTGTGCCCTCTACTGACAGAGTTGAACCTTTCTTTGCAAAGAGCAGCTTTGAAACACTCTTTTTGTAGAATCTGCAAGAGGATATTTGGATAGCTTTGAGGATTTCGTTGGAAACGGGTATGTCTTCAGATAAACTCTAGACAGAAGCATTCTCAGAAACTTCTTTGGGATGTTGCATTCAAGTCACAGAGTAGAACATTCCCATTCATAGAGCAGATTTGAAACACTCTTTTTGTAGTATCTGGAAGTGGACATTTGGAGCGCTTTCAGGCCTATGTTGAAAAAGGAAATATCTTCCCATAAAAACTAGACGGAAGCATTCTCAGAAACTTACTTGTGATGTGTTTGCTCAACTAACAGAATTGAACCATCGTTTTGAAGGAGCAGTTTTGAAACACTGTTTTCGTGGAATCTGCAAGTGGATATTTGGCTAGCTTTGAGGATTTCGTTGGAAACGGGATTACATATAAAAAGGAGACAGCAGCATTCTCAGAAACTTCTTTGTGATGTTTGCATTCAAGTCACAGAGTTGAACATTCCCTTTCATAGAGCAGGTTTGAAACACTCTTTTTGTAGTATCTGGATGTGGACATTTGGATCGCTTTCAGGCCTATGGTGAAAAAGGAAATATCTTCCCATGAAAACTAGACAGAAGATTCTCAGAAATTTATTTGTGATGTGTGCCCTCAACTAACAGAGTTGAACCTTTCTTTTGATAGAGCAGTTTTGAAACACTCTTTTTGTAAAATCTGCAAGAGGATATTTGGATAGCTTTGAGGATTTCGTTGCAAACGGGAATGGCTTCATATAAACTCTAGACAGAAGCATTCTCAGAAACTTCGTTGGGATGTTTCGATTGAAGTCCCAGTGTTGAACATTCCCTTTTATAGAGCAGGTTGGAAACACTCTTTCTGCATTCCCTGGAAGTGGACATTTGGAGCGCTTTCAGGACGACGGTGAAAATGGAAATATCTTCCAAGAAAATCTAGATAGAAGCAACGTCAGAAACTTTTATGTGATGGATCTACTCAGCTAACAGAGTTGAACCTTTCTTTTGAGAGAGCAGTTTTGCAACACTCTTTTTGTGGAATATGCAAGTGGATATTAGGGCAGCTTTGAGGATTTCGTTGGAAACGGGAATACATGTAAAAAGCAGACAGCAGCATTCTCAGAAACTTCTTTGTGATGTTTGCATTGAAGTCACAGAGTTGAACATTCCCTTTGAGAGAGCAGGTTTGAAACACGCCTTTTGTCATATCTGGAAGTGTCCATTCGGAGCGCATTCAGGCTTGTGTTGAAAAAGGAAATATCCTCCCATAAAAACTAGACAGATATGTGGAGAGAGAGGGAGAGATTTCTTCTAAAAAATTGGCTTACACGCCAGGCGTGGTGGCTCACGCCTGTAATCCCAGCACTTTGGGAGGCTGTGAAACACTCTTTTTGTGGTATCTGGATGTGGACATTTGGATCGCTTTGGGCCTATGGTGAAAAAGGAAATATCTTCCCATGAAAACTAGACAGAAG
>NC_000020.11:28317842-28445967 GCF_000001405.40 Homo sapiens
AGCATTCTCAGAAACTTATTTGTGATGTGTGCCCTCAACTGACAGTGTTGAACCTTTGTTTTGATAGAGCAGTTCTGAAACACACTTTTTGTAAAATCTGCAAGAGGATATTTGGATAGCTTTGAGGATTTCGTTGGAAACGGGAATGTCTTCATGTAAACTCTAGACAGAAGCATTCTCAGAAACTGCTTTGGGATGTTTCAATTGAAGTCCCAGTGTTGAACATTCCCATTCATAGAGCAGGTTTGAAACACTCTTTTTGTACTATCTGGAAGTGGACATTTGGAGCGCTTTCAGGTCTACGGTGAAAAAGGAGATATCTTCCAATAAAAACTAGATAGAAGCAATGTCAGAAACTTTTTTATGATGTATCTACTCAGCTAACAGAGTTGAACCTTTCTTTTGAGAGAGCAGTATTGAAACACTCTTTTTGTGGAATATGCAAGTGGATATTAGGGCAGCTTGGAGGATTTTGTTGGAAACGGGAATACATATTAAAAGCAGACAGCAGCATTCTCAGAATCTTCTCTGTGATGTTTGCATTCAAGTCACAGAGTTGAACATTCCCTTTCACAGAGCATGTTTGAAACACTCTTTATCCATTATCTGGAAGTGGACATTTGTAGCGTTTTCAGGCCTATGGTGAAAAAGGCAATACCTTCCCATAAAAACTAGACAGAAGCATTCTCAGAAACTTGTTTGTGATGTGTGTACTCAACTGACAGAGTTGAACCTTTCTTTTGATAGAGCAGTTTTGAAACACTCTTTTTGTAGAATCTGCAAGTGGATATTTGGATAGCTTTGAGGATTTCGTTGGAAACGGGAATATCTTCATATAAAATCTAGACAGAAGCATTCTCAGAAACTTCTTTGTGATGTTTCCATTCAAGTCACAGAGTTGAACATTCCCTTTCATAGAGCAGGTTTGAAACACTCTTTTTGTAGTATCTGGATGTGGACATTTGGATCGGCTTTCAGGCCTATGGTGAAAAAGGAAATATCTTCCCATGAAAACTAGACAGAAGCATTCTCAGAAATTTATTTGTGATGTGTGCCCTCAACTAACAGAGTTGAACCTTTCTTTTGATAGAGCAGTTTTGAAACACTCTTTTTGTAAAATCTGCAAGAGGATATTTGGATAGCTTTGAGGATTTCGTTGCAAACGGGAATGGCTTCATATAAACTCTAGACAGAAGCATTCTCAGAAACTTCGTTGGGATGTTTCGATTGAAGTCCCAGTGTTGAACATTCCCTTCTATAGAGCAGGTTGGAAACACTCTTTTTGCATTCCCTGGAAGTGCACATTTGGAGCGCTTTCAGGACGACGGTGACAATGGAAATATCTTCCAATAAAATCTAGATAGAAGCAATGTCAGAAACTTTTCTGTGATGGATCTACTCAGCTAACAGAGTTGAAACTTTCTTTTGAGAGAGCAGTTTTGCAACACTCTTTTTGTGGAATATGCAAGTGGATATTAGGGCAGCTTTGAGGATTTCGTTGGAAACGGGAATACATGTAAAAAGCAGACAGCAGCATTCTCAGAAACTTCTTTGTGATGTTTGCATTGAAGTCACAGAGTTGAACATTCCCTTTGAGAGAGCAGGTTTGAAACACGCCTTTTGTCATATCTGGAAGTGTCCATTCGGAGCGCATTCAGGCTTGTGTTGAAAAAGGAAATATCCTCCCAGAAAAACTAGACAGAAGCATTCTCAGAAACTTATCTGTGATGTATGTACTCAACTAACAGAACTAAACCATCGTTTTGAAGGGCAGTTTTGAAACACTCTTTTTGCGGAATCTGCAAGTGGATATTTGGCTAGCTGGGAGGATTTCGTTGGAAACGGGATTACATACAAAAAGCAGACAGCAGCATTCTCAGAAACTTATTTGTGATGTGTGCCCTCAACTGACAGTGTTGAACCTTTGTTTTGATAGAGCAGTTCTGAAACACACTTTTTGTAAAATCTGCAAGAGGATATTTGGATAGCTTTGAGGATTTCGTTGGAAACGGGAATGTCTTCATGTAAACTCTAGACAGAAGCATTCTCAGAAACTGCTTTGGGATGTTTCAATTGAAGTCCCAGTGTTGAACATTCCCTTTCATAGAGCAGGTTTGAAACACTCTTTTTGTACTATCTGGAAGTGGACATTTGGAGCGCTTTCAGGTCTACGGTGAAAAAGGAGATATCTTCCAATAAAAACTAGATAGAAGCAATGTCAGAACTTTTTTCATGATGTATCTACTCAGCAAACAGAGTTGAACCTTTCTTTTGAGAGAGCAGTTTTGAAACACTCTTTTTGTGGAATATGCAAGTGGGTATTAGGCCAGCTTGGAGGATTTCGTTGGAAACGGGAATACGTATAAAAAGCAGACAGCAGCATTGTCAGAAACTACTTTGTGATGTTTGCATTCAAGTCACAGAATTGAACACTCCCTTTCACAGAGCAGGTTTGAAACACTCTTTTTGTAGTGTCTATAAGTGAACATTTGGCGTGCTTTCAGGCCTAAGGTGAAAAAGGAAATATCTTCCCATAAAAACTAGACAGAAGCATTCTCAGAAACTTGTTTGTGATGTGTGCCCTCTACTGACAGAGTTGAACCTTTCTTTGCAAAGAGCAGTTTTGAAACACTCTTTTTGTAGAATCTGCAAGAGGATATTTGGATAGCTTTGAGGATTTCTTGGGAAACGGGAATGTCTTCAGATAAACTCTAGACAGAAGCATTCTCAGAAACTTCTTTGGGATGTTTCAATTGAAGTCACAGTGTTGAACATTCCCTTTCACAGAGCAGGTTTGAAACACTCTTTTTGTAGTGTCTATAAGTGAACATTTGGCGTGCTTTCAGGCCTAACGTGAAAAAGGAAATATCTTCCCATAAAAACTAGACAGAAGCATTCTCAGAAACTTGTTCGTGATGTGTGCCCTCTACTGACAGAGTTGAACCTTTCTTTGCAAAGAGCAGCTTTGAAACACACTTTTTGTAGAATCTGCAAGAGGATATTTGGATAGCTTTGAGGATTTCGTTGGAAACGGGTATGTCTTCAGATAAACTCTAGACAGAAGCATTCTCAGAAACTTCTTTGGGATGTTGCATTCAAGTCACAGAGTAGAACATTCCCATTCATAGAGCAGATTTGAAACACTCTTTTTGTAGTATCTGGAAATGGACATTTGGAGCGCTTTCAGGCCTATGTTGAAAAAGGAAATATCTTCCCATAAAAACTAGACGGAAGCATTCTCAGAATCTTATTTGTGATGTGTTTGCTCAACTAACAGGATTGAACCATCGTTTTGAAGGAGCAGTTTTGAAACACTGTTTTCGTGGAATCTGCAAGTGGATATTTGGCTAGCTTTGAGGATTTCGTTGGAAACGGGATTACATATAAAAAGGAGACAGCAGCATTCTCAGAAACTTCTTTGTGATGTCTGCATTCAATTCACAGAGTTGAGCATTCCCTTTCATAGAGCAGGTTGGAAACACTCTTTTTGTAGTATCTGGATGAGGACATTTGGAGCGCTTTCAGGCGTATGGTGAAAAAGGAAATATCTTCCCGTAAAAACTAGACAGAAGCATTCTCAGAAGTTTATTTGTGATGTGTGCCCTCAACTAACAGAGTTGAACCTTTCTTTTGATAGAGCAGTTTTGAAACACTCTTTTTGTAAAATCTGCAAGGGGATATTTGGATAGCTTTGAGGATTTCGTTGCAAACGGGAATGGCTTCATATAAACTCTAGACAGAAAGCATTCTCAGAAACTTCGTCGGGATGTTTCGATTGAAGTCCCAGTGTTGAACATTCCCTTTTATAGAGCAGGTTGGAAACACTCTTTCTGCATTCCCTGGAAGTGGACAATTGGAGCGCTTTCAGGACGACGGTGAAAATGGAAATATCTTCCAATAAAATCTGGATAGAGCAATGTCAGAAACTTTTCTGTGATGGATCTACTCAGCTAACAGAGTTGAACCTTTCTTTTGAGAGAGCAGTTTTGCAACACTCTTTTTGTGGAATATGCAAGTGGATATTAGGGCAGCTTTGAGGATTTCGTTGGAAACGGGAATACATGTAAAAAGCAGACAGCAGCATTCTCAGAAACTTCTTTGTGATGTTTGCATTGAAGTCACAGAGTTGAACATTCCCTTTGAGAGAGCAGGTTTGAAACACGCCTTTTGTCATATCTGGAAGTGTCCATTCGGAGCGCATTCAGGCTTGTGTTGAAAAAGGAAATATCCTCCCATAAAAACTAGACAGAAGCATTCTCAGAAACTTATCTGTGATGTATGTACTCAACTAACAGAACTAAACCATCGTTTTGAAGGAGCAGTTTTGAAACACTCTTTTTGCGGAATCTGCAAGTGGATATTTGGCTAGCTGGGAGGATTTCGTTGGAAACGGGATTACATACAAAAAGCAGACAGCAGCATTCTCAGAAACTTATTTGTGATGTGTGCCCTCAACTGACAGTGTTGAACCTTTGTTTTGATAGAGCAGTTCTGAAACACACTTTTTGTAAAATCTGCAAGAGGATATTTGGATAGCTTTGAGGATTTCGTTGGAAACGGGAATGTCTTCATGTAAACTCTACACAGAAGCATTCTCAGAAACTGCTTTGGGATGTTTCAATTGAAGTCCCAGTGTTGAACATTCCCTTTCATAGAGCAGGTTTGAAACCCTCTTTTTGTACTATCTGGAAGTGGACATTTGGAGCGCTTTCAGGTCTACGGTGAAAAAGGAGATATCTTCCAATAAAAACTAGATAGAAGCAATGTCAGAACTTTTTTCATGATGTATCTACTCAGCAAACAGAGTTGAACCTTTCTTTTGAGAGAGCAGTTTTGAAACACTCTTTTTGTGGAATATGCAAGTGGGTATTAGGCCAGCTTGGAGGATTTCGTTGGAAACGGGAATACGTATAAAAAGCAGACAGCAGCATTTTCAGAGACTACTTTGTGATGTTTGCAATCAAGTCACAGAATTGAACACTCCCTTTCACAGAGCAGGTTTGAAACACTCTTTTTGTAGTGTCTGTAAGTGAACATTTGGATTGCTTTCAGGCCTAAGGTGAAAAAGGAAATATCTTCCCATAAAAACTAGACAGAAGCATTCTCAGCAAACTTGTTTGTGATGTGTGCCCTCTACTGACAGAGTTGAACCTTTCTTTGCAAAGAGCAGTTTTGAAACAGTCTTTTTGTAGAATCTGCAAGAGGATATTTGGATAGCTTTGAGGATTTCTTGGGAAACGGGAATGTCTTCAGATAAACTCTAGACAGAAGCATTCTCAGAAACTTCTTTGGGATGTTTCAATTGAAGTCACAGTGTTGAACATTCCCTTTCACAGAGCAGGTTTGAAACACTCTTTTTGTAGTGTCTATAAGTGAACATTTGGCGTGCTTTCAGGCCTAACGTGAAAAAGGAAATATCTTCCCATAAAAACTAGACAGAAGCATTCTCAGAAACTTGTTCGTGATGTGTGCCCTCTACTGACAGAGTTGAACCTTTCTTTGCAAAGAGCAGCTTTGAAACACTCTTTCTGTAGAATCTGCAAGAGGATATTTGGATAGATTTGAGGATTTCGTTGGAAACGGGTATGTCTTCAGATAAACTCTAGACAGAAGCATTCTCAGAAACTTCTTTGGGATGTTGCATTCAAGTCACAGAGTAGAACATTCCCATTCATAGAGCAGATTTGAAACACTCTTTTTGTAGTATCTGGAAGTGGACATTTGGAGCGCTTTCAGGCCTATGTTGAAAAAGGAAATATCTTCCCATAAAAACTAGACGGAAGCGTTCTCAGAAACTTATTTGTGATGTGTTTGCTCAACTAACAGGATTGAACCATCGTTTGGAAGGAGCAGTTTTGAAACACTGTTTTCGTGGAATCTGCAAGTGGATATTTGGCTAGCTTTGAGGATTTCGTTGGAAACGGGATTACATATAAAAAGGAGACAGCAGCATTCTCAGAAACTTCTTTGTGATGTCTGCATTCAAGTCACAGAGTTGAGCATTCCCTTTCATAGAGCAGGTTGGAAACACTCTTTTTGTAGTATCTGGATGAGGACATTTGGAGCGCTTTCAGGCGTATGGTGAAAAAGGAAATATCTTCCCGTAAAAACTAGACAGAAGCATTCTCAGAAATTTATTTGTGATGTGTGCCCTCACCTAACAGAGTTGAACCTTTCTTTTGATAGAGCAGTTTTGAAACACTCTTTTTGTAAAATCTGCAAGAGGATATTTGGATAGCTTTGAGGATTTCGTTGCAAACGGGAATGGCTTCATATAAACTCTAGACAGAAGCATTCTCAGAAACTTCGTTGGGATGTTTCGATTGAAGTCCCAGTGTTGAACATTCCCTTTTATAGAGCAGGTTGGAAACACTCTTTCTGCATTCCCTGGAAGTGGACATTTGGAGCGCTTTCAGGACGACGGTGAAAATGGAAATATCTTCCAAGAAAATCTAGATAGAAGCAATGTCAGAAACTTTTATGTGATGGATCTACTCAGCTAACAGAGTTGAACCTTTCTTTTGAGAGAGCAGTTTTGCAACACTCTTTTTGTGGAATATGCAAGTGGATATTAGGGCAGCTTTGAGGATTTCGTTGGAAACGGGAATACATGTAAAAAGCAGACAGCAGCATTCTCAGAAACTTCTTTGTGATGTTTGCATTGAAGTCACAGAGTTGAACATTCCCTTTGAGAGAGCAGGTTTGAAACACGCCTTTTGTCATATCTGGAAGTGTCCATTCGGAGCGCATTCAGGCTTGTGTTGAAAAAGGAAATATCCTCCCATAAAAACTAGACAGAAGCATTCTCAGAAACTTATCTGTGATGTATGTACTCAACTAACAGAACTAAACCATCGTTTTGAAGGAGCAGTTTTGAAACACTCTTTTTGCGGAATCTGCAAGTGGATATTTGGCTAGCTGGGAGGATTTCGTTGGAAACGGGATTACATACAAAAAGCAGACAGCAGCATTCTCAGAAACTTATTTGTGATGTGTGCCCTCAACTGACAGTGTTGAACCTTTGTTTTGATAGAGCAGTTCTGAAACACACTTTTTGTAAAATCTGCAAGAGGATATTTGGATAGCTTTGAGGATTTCGTTGGAAACGGGAATGTCTTCATGTAAACTCTAGACAGAAGCATTCTCAGAAACTGCTTTGGGATGTTTCAATTGAAGTCCCAGTGTTGAACATTCCCATTCATAGAGCAGGTTTGAAACACTCTTTTTGTAATATCTGGAAGTGGACATTTGGAGCGCTTTCAGGTCTACGGTGAAAAAGGAGATATCTTCCAATAAAAACTAGATAGAAGCAATGTCAGAACTTTTTTCATGATGTATCTACTCAGCAAACAGAGTTGAACCTTTCTTTTGAGAGAGCAGTTTTGAAACACTCTTTTTGTGGAATATGCAAGTGGGTATTAGGCCAGCTTGGAGGATTTCGTTGGAAACGGGAATACGTATAAAAAGCAGACAGCAGAATTGTCAGAAACTACTTTGTGATGTTTGCATTCAAGTCACAGAATTGAACACTCCCTTTCACAGAGCAGGTTTGAAACACTCTTTTTGTAGTGTCTGTAAGTGAACATTTGGATTGCTTTCAGGCGTAAGGTGAAAAAGGAAATATCTTCCCATAAAAACTAGACAGAAGCATTCTCAGAAACTTGTTCGTGATGTGTGCCCTCTACTGACAGAGTTGAACCTTTCTTTGCAAAGAGCAGTTTTGAAACACTCTTTTTGTAGAATCTGCAAGAGGATATATGGATAGCTTTGAGGATTTCGTTGGAAACGGGAATGTCTTCAGATAAACTCTAGACAGAAGCATTCTCAGAAACTTCTTTGGGATGTTTCAATTGAAGTCACAGTGTTGAACATTCCCTTTCACAGAGCAGGTTTGAAACACTCTTTTTGTAGTGTCTATAAGTGAACATTTGGCGTGCTTTCAGGCCTAACGTGAAAAAGGAAATATCTTCCCATAAAAACTAGACAGAAGTATTCTCAGAAACTTGTTCTTGATGTGTCCCCTCTACTGACAGAGTTGAACCTTTCTTTGCAAAGAGCAGCTTTGAAACACTCTTTTTGTAGAATCTGCAAGAGGATATTTGGATAGCTTGGAGGATTTCGTTGGAAACGGGTATGTCTTCAGATAAACTCTAGACAGAAGCATTCTCAGAAACTTCTTTGGGATGTTGCATTCAAGTCACAGAGTAGAACATTCCCATTCATAGAGCAGATTTGAAACACTCTTTTTGTAGTATCTGGAAGTGGACATTTGGAGCGCTTTCAGGCCTATGTTGAAAAAGGAAATATCTTCCCATAAAAACTAGACGGAAGCATTCTCAGAAACTTACTTGTGATGTGTTTGCTCAACTAACAGAATTGAACCATCGTTTTGAAGGAGCAGTTTTGAAACACTGTTTTCGTGGAATCTGCAAGTGGATATTTGGCTAGCTTTGAGGATTTCGTTGGAAACGGGATTACATATAAAAAGGAGACAGCAGCATTCTCAGAAACTTCTTTGTGATGTTTGCATTCAAGTCACAGAGTTGAACATTCCCTTTCATAGAGCAGGTTTGAAACACTCTTTTTGTAGTATCTGGATGTGGACATTTGGATCGCTTTCAGGCCTATGGTGAAAAAGGAAATATCTTCCCATGAAAACTAGACAGAAGCATTCTCAGAAACTTATTTGCGATGTGTGCCCTCAACTGACAGTGTTGAACCTTTGTTTTGATAGAGCAGTTCTGAAACACACTTTTTGTAAAATCTGCAAGAGGATATTTGGATAGCTTTGAGGATTTCGTTGGAAACGGGAATGTCTTCATGTAAACTTCTGGACAGAAGCATTCTCAGCAAACTGCTTTGGGATGTTTCAATTGAAGTCCCAGTGTTGAACATTCCCTTTCATAGAGCAGGTTTGAAACACTCTTTTTGTACTATCTGGAAGTGGACATTTGGAGCGCTTTCAGGTCTACGGTGAAAAAGGAGATATCTTCCAATAAAAACTAGATAGAAGCAATGTCAGAACTTTTTTCATGATGTATCTACTCAGCAAACAGAGTTGAACCTTTCTTTTGAGAGAGCAGTTTTGAAACACTCTTTTTGTGGAATATGCAAGTGGGTATTAGGCCAGCTTGGAGGATTTCGTTGGAAACGGGAATACGTATAAAAAGCAGACAGCAGCATTGTCAGAAACTACTTTGTGATGTTTGCATTCAAGTCACAGAATTGAACACTCCCTTTCACAGAGCAGGTTTGAAACACTCTTTTTGTAGTGTCTGTAAGTGAACATTTGGATTGCTTTCAGGCCTAAGGTGAAAAAGGAAATATCTTCCCATAAAAACTAGACAGAAGCATTCTCAGAAACTTGTTTGTGATGTGTGCCCTCTACTGACAGAGTTGAACCTTTCTTTGCAAAGAGCAGTTTTGAAACACTCTTTTTGTAGAATCTGCAAGAGGATATTTGGATAGCTTTGAGGATTTCTTGGGAAACGGGAATGTCTTCAGATAAACTCTAGACAGAAGCATTCTCAGAAACTTCTTTGGGATGTTTCAATTGAAGTCACAGTGTTGAACATTCCCTTTCACAGAGCAGGTTTGAAACACTCTTTTTGTAGTGTCTGTAAGTGAACATTTGGCGTGCTTTCAGGCCTAACGTGAAAAAGGAAATATCTTCCCATAAAAACTAGACAGAAGCATTCTCAGAAACTTGTTCGTGATGTGTGCCCTCTACTGACAGAGTTGAACCTTTCTTTGCAAAGAGCAGCTTTGAAACACTCTTTTTGTAGAATCTGCAAGAGGATATGTGGATAGCTTTGAGGATTTCGTTGGAAACGGGTATGTCTTCAGATAAACTCTAGACAGAAGCATTCTCAGAAACTTCTTTGGGATGTTGCATTCAAGTCACAGAGTAGAACATTCCCATTCATAGAGCAGATTTGAAACACTCTTTTTGTAGTATCTGGAAGTGGACATTTGGAGCGCTTTCAGGCCTATGTTGAAAAAGGAAATATCTTCCCATAAAAACTAGACGGAAGCATTCTCAGAAACTTACTTGTGATGTGTTTGCTCAACTAACAGAATTGAACCATCGTTTTGAAGGAGCAGTTTTGAAACACTGTTTTCGTGGAATCTGCAAGTGGATATTTGGCTAGCTTTGAGGATTTCGTTGGAAACGGGATTACATATAAAAAGGAGACAGCAGCATTCTCAGAAACTTCTTTGTGATGTCTGCATTCAAGTCACAGAGTTGAGCATTCCCTTTCATAGAGCAGGTTGGAAACACTCTTTTTGTAGTATCTGGATGAGGACATTTGGAGCGCTTTCAGGCGTATGGTGAAAAAGGAAATATCTTCCCGTAAAAACTAGACAGAAGCATTCTCAGAAGTTTATTTGTGATGTGTGCCTTCAACTAACAGAGTTGAAACTTTCTTTTGATAGAGCAGTTTTGAAACACTCATTTTGTAAAATCTGCAAGAGGATATTTGGATAGCTTTGAGGATTTCGTTGCAAACGGGAATGGCTTCATATAAACTCTAGACAGAAGCATTCTCAGAAACTTCGTCGGGATGTTTCGATTGAAGTCCCAGTGTTGAACATTCCCTTTTATAGAGCAGGTTGGAAACACTCTTTCTGCATTCCCTGGAAGTGGACAATTGGAGCGCTTTCAGGACGACGGTGAAAATGGAAATATCTTCCAATAAAATCTGGATAGAAGCAACGTCAGAAACTTTTCTGTGATGGATCTACTCAGCTAACAGAGTTGAACCTTTCTTTTGAGAGAGCAGTTTTGCAACACTCTTTTTGTGGAATATGCAAGTGGATATTAGGGCAGCTTTGAGGATTTCGTTGGAAACGGGAATACATGTAAAAAGCAGACAGCAGCATTCTCAGAAACTTCTTTGTGATGTTTGCATTGAAGTCACAGAGTTGAACATTCCCTTTGAGAGAGCAGGTTTGAAACACGCCTTTTGTCATATCTGGAAGTGTCCATTCGGAGCGCATTCAGGCTTGTGTTGAAAAAGGAAATATCCTCCCATAAAAACTAGACAGAAGCATTCTCAGAAACTTATCTGTGATGTATGTACTCAACTAACAGAACTAAACCATCGTTTTGAAGGAGCAGTTTTGAAACACTCTTTTTGCGGAATCTGCAAGTGGATATTTGGCTAGCTGGGAGGATTTCGTTGGAAACGGGATTACATACAAAAAGCAGACAGCAGCATTCTCAGAAACTTATTTGTGATGTGTGCCCTCAACTGACAGTGTTGAACCTTTGTTTTGATAGAGCAGTTCTGAAACACACTTTTTGTAAAATCTGCAAGAGGATATTTGGATAGCTTTGAGGATTTCGTTGGAAACGGGAATGTCTTCATGTAAACTCTAGACAGAAGCATTCTCAGAAACTGCTTTGGGATGTTTCAATTGAAGTCCCAGTGTTGAACATTCCCATTCATAGAGCAGGTTTGAAACACTCTTTTTGTACTATCTGGAAGTGGACATTTGGAGCGCTTTCAGGTCTACGGTGAAAAAGGAGATATCTTCCAATAAAAACTAGATAGAAGCAATGTCAGAACTTTTTTCATGATGTATCTACTCAGCAAACAGAGTTGAACCTTTCTTTTGAGAGAGCAGTTTTGAAACACTCTTTTTGTGGAATATGCAAGTGGGTATTAGGCCAGCTTGGAGGATTTCGTTGGAAACGGGAATACGTATAAAAAGCAGACAGCAGCATTGTCAGAAACTACTTTGTGATGTTTGCATTCAAGTCACAGAATTGAACACTCCCTTTCACAGAGCAGGTTTGAAACACTCTTTTTGTAGTGTCTGTAAGTGAACATATGGATTGCTTTCAGGCCTAAGGTGAAAAAGGAAATATCTTCCCATAAAAACTAGACAGAAGCATTCTCAGAATCTTGTTTGTGATGTGTGCCCTCTACTGACAGAGTTGAACCTTTCTTTGCAAAGACCAGTTTTGAAACACTCTTTTTGTAGAATCTGCAAGAGGATATTTGGATAGCTTTGAGGATTTCTTGGGAAACGGGAATGTCTTCAGATAAACTCTAGACAGAAGCATTCTCAGAAACTTCTTTGGGATATTTCAATTGAAGTCACAGTGTTGAACATTCCCTTTCACAGAGCAGGTTTGAAACACTCTTTTTGTAGTGTCTATAAGTGAACATTTGGCGTGCTTTCAGGCGTAACGTGAAAAAGGAAATATCTTCCCATAAAAACGAGACAGAAGCATTCTCAGAAACTTGTTCGTGATGTGTGCCCTCTACTGACAGAGTTGAACCTTTCTTTGCAAAGAGCAGCTTTGAAACACTCTTTTTGTAGAATCTGCAAGAGGATATTTGGATAGCTTTGAGGATTTCGTTGGAAACGGGTATGTCTTCAGATAAACTCTAGACAGAAGCATTCTCAGCAAACTTCTTTGGGATGTTGCATTCAAGTCACAGAGTAGAACATTCCCATTCATAGAGCAGATTTGAAACACTCTTTTTGTAGTATCTGGAAGTGGACATTTGGAGCGCTTTCAGGCCTATGTTGAAAAAGGAAATATCTTCCCATAAAAACTAGACGGAAGCATTCTCAGAAACTTATTTGTGATGTGTTTGCTCAACTAACAGGATTGAACCATCGTTTTGAAGGAGCAGTTTTGAAACACTGTTTTCGTGGAATCTGCAAGTGGATATTTGGCTAGCTTTGAGGATTTCGTTGGAAACGGGATTACATATAAAAAGGAGACAGCAGCATTCTCAGAAACTTCTTTGTGATGTCTGCATTCAATTCACAGAGTTGAGCATTCCCTTTCATAGAGCAGGTTGGAAACACTCTTTTTGTAGTATCTGGATGAGGACATTTGGAGCGCTTTCAGGCCTATGGTGAAAAAGGAAATATCTTCCCGTAAAAACTAGACAGAAGCATTCTCAGAAGTTTATTTGTGATGTGTGCCCTCAACTAACAGAGTTGAACCTTTCTTTTGATAGAGCAGTTTTGAAACACTCTTTTTGTAAAATCTGCAAGAGGATATTTGGATAGCTTTGAGGATTTCGTTGCAAACGGGAATGGCTTCATATAAACTCTAGACAGAAGCATTCTCAGAAACTTCGTTGGGATGTTTCGATTGAAGTCCCAGTGTTGAACATTCCCTTTTATAGAGCAGGTTGGAAACACTCTTTCTGCATTCCCTGGAAGTGGACATTTGGAGCGCTTTCAGGACGACGGTGAAAATGGAAATATCTTCCAAGAAAATCTAGATAGAAGCAACGTCAGAAACTTTTATGTGATGGATCTACTCAGCTAACAGAGTTGAACCTTTCTTTTGAGAGAGCAGTTTTGCAACACTCTTTTTGTGGAATATGCAAGTGGATATTAGGGCAGCTTTGAGGATTTCGTTGGAAACGGGAATACATGTAAAAAGCAGACAGCAGCATTCTCAGAAACTTCTTTGTGATGTTTGCATTGAAGTCACAGAGTTGAACATTCCCTTTGAGAGAGCAGGTTTGAAACACGCCTTTTGTCATATCTGGAAGTGTCCATTCGGAGCGCATTCAGGCTTGTGTTGAAAAAGGAAATATCCTCCCATAAAAACTAGACAGAAGCATTCTCAGAAACTTATCTGTGATGTATGTACTCAACTAACAGAACTAAACCATCGTTTTGAAGGAGCAGTTTTGAAACACTCTTTTTGCGGAATCTGCAAGTGGATATTTGGCTAGCTGGGAGGATTTCGTTGGAAACGGGATTACATACAAAAAGCAGACAGCAGCATTCTCAGAAACTTATTTGTGATGTGTGCCCTCAACTGACAGTGTTGAACCTTTGTTTTGATAGAGCAGTTCTGAAACACACTTTTTGTAAAATCTGCAAGAGGATATTTGGATAGCTTTGAGGATTTCGTTGGAAACGGGAATGTCTTCATGTAAACTCTAGACAGAAGCATTCTCAGAAACTGCTTTGGGATGTTTCAATTGAAGTCCCAGTGTTGAACATTCCCATTCATAGAGCAGGTTTGAAACACTCTTTTTGTACTATCTGGAAGTGGACATTTGGAGCGCTTTCAGGTCTACGGTGAAAAAGGAGATATCTTCCAATAAAAACTAGATAGAAGCAATGTCAGAACTTTTTTCATGATGTATCTACTCAGCAAACAGAGTTGAACCTTTCTTTTGAGAGAGCAGTTTTGAAACACTCCTTTTGTGGAATATGCAAGTGGGTATTAGGCCAGCTTGGAGGATTTCGTTGGAAACGGGAATACGTATAAAAAGCAGACAGCAGCATTGTCAGAAACTACTTTGTGATGTTTGCATTCAAGTCACAGAATTGAACACTCCCTTTCACAGAGCAGGTTTGAAACACTCTTTTTGTAGTGTCTGTAAGTGAACATTTGGATTGCTTTCAGGCCTAAGGTGAAAAAGGAAATATCTTCCCATAAAAACTAGACAGAAGCATTCTCAGAAACTTGTTTGTGATGTGTGCCCTCTACTGACAGAGTTGAACCTTTCTTTGCAAAGAGCAGTTTTGAAACACTCTTTTTGTAGAATCTGCAAGAGGATATTTGGATAGCTTTGAGGATTTCTTGGGAAACGGGAATGTCTTCAGATAAACTCTAGACAGAAGCATTCTCAGAAACTTCTTTGGGATGTTTCAATTGAAGTCACAGTGTTGAACATTCCCTTTCACAGAGCAGGTTTGAAACACTCTTTTTGTAGTGTCTATAAGTGAACATTTGGCGTGCTTTCAGGCCTAACGTGAAAAAGGAAATATCTTCCCATAAAAACTAGACAGAAGCATTCTCAGAAACTTGTTCGTGATGTGTGCCCTCTACTGACAGAGTTGAACCTTTCTTTGCAAAGAGCAGCTTTGAAACACACTTTTTGTAGAATCTGCAAGAGGATATTTGGATAGCTTGGAGGATTTCGTTGGAAACGGGTATGTCTTCAGATAAACTCTAGACAGAAGCATTCTCAGAAACTTCTTTGGGATGTTGCATTCAAGTCACAGAGTAGAACATTCCCATTCATAGAGCAGATTTGAAACACTCTTTTTGTAGTATCTGGAAGTGGACATTTGGAGCGCTTTCAGGCCTATGTTGAAAAAGGAAATATCTTCCCATAAAAACTAGACGGAAGCATTCTCAGAAACTTACTTGTGATGTGTTTGCTCAACTAACAGAATTGAACCATCGTTTTGAAGGAGCAGTTTTGAAACACTGTTTTCGTGGAATCTGCAAGTGGATATTTGGCTAGCTTTGAGGATTTCGTTGGAAACGGGATTACATATAAAAAGGAGACAGCAGCATTCTCAGAAACTTCTTTGTGATGTCTGCATTCAAGTCACAGAGTTGAGCATTCCCTTTCATAGAGCAGGTTGGAAACACTCTTTTTGTAGTATCTGGATGAGGACATTTGGAGCGCTTTCAGGCGTATGGTGAAAAAGGAAATATCTTCCCGTAAAAACTAGACAGAAGATTCTCAGAAATTTATTTGTGATGTGTGCCCTCAACTAACAGAGTTGAACCTTTCTTTTGATAGAGCAGTTTTGAAACACTCTTTTTGTAAAATCTGCAAGAGGATATTTGGATAGCTTTGAGGATTTCGTTGCAAACGGGAATGGCTTCATATAAACTCTAGACAGAAGCATTCTCAGAAACTTCGTTGGGATGTTTCGATTGAAGTCCCAGTGTTGAACATTCCCTTTTATAGAGCAGGTTGGAAACACTCTTTCTGCATTCCCTGGAAGTGGACATTTGGAGCGCTTTCAGGACGACGGTGAAAATGGAAATATCTTCCAAGAAAATCTAGATAGAAGCAACGTCAGAAACTTTTCTGTGATGGATCTACTCAGCTAACAGAGTTGAACCTTTCTTTTGAGAGAGCAGTTTTGCAACACTCTTTTTGTGGAATATGCAAGTGGATATTAGGGCAGCTTTGAGGATTTCGTTGGAAACGGGAATACATGTAAAAAGCAGACAGCAGCATTCTCAGAAACTTCTTTGTGATGTTTGCATTGAAGTCACAGAGTTGAACATTCCCTTTGAGAGAGCAGGTTTGAAACACGCCTTTTGTCATATCTGGAAGTGTCCATTCGGAGCGCATTCAGGCTTGTGTTGAAAAAGGAAATATCCTCCCATAAAAACTAGACAGAAGCATTCTCAGAAACTTATCTGTGATGTATGTACTCAACTAACAGAACTAAACCATCGTTTTGAAGGAGCAGTTTTGAAACACTCTTTTTGCGGAATCTGCAAGTGGATATTTGGCTAGCTGGGAGGATTTCGTTGGAAACGGGATTACATACA
The DNA here is from genome assembly GCF_000001405.40 of Homo sapiens. Taxonomy (NCBI): domain Eukaryota; kingdom Metazoa; phylum Chordata; class Mammalia; order Primates; family Hominidae; genus Homo; species Homo sapiens. The sequence continues at coordinate 28,334,143 of NC_000020.11, forward strand.
AAAAGCAGACAGCAGCATTCTCAGAAACTTATTTGTGATGTGTGCCCTCAACTGACAGTGTTGAACCTTTGTTTTGATAGAGCAGTTCTGAAACACACTTTTTGTAAAATCTGCAAGAGGATATTTGGATAGCTTTGAGGATTTCGTTGGAAACGGGAATGTCTTCATGTAAACTCTACACAGAAGCATTCTCAGAAACTGCTTTGGGATGTTTCAATTGAAGTCCCAGTGTTGAACATTCCCATTCATAGAGCAGGTTTGAAACACTCTTTTTGTACTATCTGGAAGTGGACATTTGGAGCGCTTTCAGGTCTACGGTGAAAAAGGAGATATCTTCCAATAAAAACTAGATAGAAGCAATGTCAGAACTTTTTTCATGATATATCTACTCAGCTAACAGAGTTGAACCTTTCTTTTGAGAGAGCAGTTTTGAAACACTCTTTTTGTGGAATATGCAAGTGGGTATTAGGCCAGCTTGGAGGATTTCGTTGGAAACGGGAATACGTATAAAAAGCAGACAGCAGCATTGTCAGAAACTACTTTGTGATGTTTGCATTCAAGTCATAGAATTGAACACTCCCTTTCACAGAGCAGGTTTGAAACACTCTTTTTGTAGTGTCTGTAAGTGAACATTTGGATTGCTTTCAGGCCTAAGGTGAAAAAGGAAATATCTTCCCATAAAAACTAGACAGAAGCATTCTCAGTAAACTTGTTTGTGATGTGTGCCCTCTACTGACAGAGTTAAACCTTTCTTTGCAAAGAGCAGTTTTGAAACACTCTTTTTGTAGAATCTGCAAGAGGATATTTGGATAGCTTTGAGGATTTCCTGGGAAACGGGAATGTCTTCAGATAAACTCTAGACAGAAGCATTCTCAGAAACTTCTTTGGGATGTTTCAATTGAAGTCACAGTGTTGAACATTCCCTTTCACAGAGCAGGTTTGAAACACTCTTTTTGTAGTGTCTATAAGTGAACATTTGGCGTGCTTTCAGGCCTAACGTGAAAAAGGAAATATCTTCCCATAAAAACTAGACAGAAGCATTCTCAGAAACTTGTTCGTGATGTGTGCCCTCTACTGACAGAGTTGAACCTTTCTTTGCAAAGAGCAGCTTTGAAACACTCTTTTTGTAGAATCTGCAAGAGGATATTTGGATAGCTTGGAGGATTTCGTTGGAAACGGGGATGTCTTCAGATAAACTCTAGACAGAAGCATTCTCAGAAACTTCTTTGGGATGTTGCATTCAAGTCACAGAGTAGAACATTCCCATTCATAGAGCAGATTTGAAACACTCTTTTTGTAGTATCTGGAAGTGGACATTTGGAGCGCTTTCAGGCCTATGTTGAAAAAGGAAATATCTTCCCATAAAAACTAGACGGAAGCATTCTCAGAAACTTACTTGTGATGTGTTTGCTCAACTAACAGAATTGAACCATCGTTTTGAAGGAGCAGTTTTGAAACACTGTTTTCGTGGAATCTGCAAGTGGATATTTGGCTAGCTTTGAGGATTTCGTTGGAAACGGGATTACATATAAAAAGGAGACAGCAGCATTCTCAGAAACTTCTTTGTGATGTTTGCATTCAAGTCACAGAGTTGAACATTCCCTTTCATAGAGCAGGTTTGAAACACTCTTTTTGTAGTATCTGGATGTGGACATTTGGATCGCTTTCAGGCCTATGGTGAAAAAGGAAATATCTTCCCATGAAAACTAGACAGAAGCATTCTCAGAAACTTATTTGTGATGTGTGCCCTCAACTGACAGTGTTGAACCTTTGTTTTGATAGAGCAGTTCTGAAACACACTTTTTGTAAAATCTGCAAGAGGATATTTGGATAGCTTTGAGGATTTCGTTGGAAACGGGAATGTCTTCATGTAAACTCTAGACAGAAGCATTCTCAGAAACTGCTTTGGGATGTTTCAATTGAAGTCCCAGTGTTGAACATTCCCATTCATAGAGCAGGTTTGAAACACTCTTTTTGTACTATCTGGAAGTGGACATTTGGAGCGCTTTCAGGTCTACGGTGAAAAAGGAGATATCTTCCAATAAAAACTAGATAGAAGCAATGTCAGAACTTTTTTCATGATGTATCTACTCAGCAAAGAGAGTTGAACCTTTCTTTTGAGAGAGCAGTTTTGAAACACTCTTTTTGTGGAATATGCAAGTGGGTATTAGGCCAGCTTGGAGGATTTCGTTGGAAACGGGAATATGTATAAAAAGCAGACAGCAGCATTCTCAGAAACTTCGTTGGGATGTTTCGATTGAAGTCACAGTGCTGAACATTCCCTTTTATAGAGCAGGTTTGAAACACTGTTTTTGTAGTATCTGGAAGTGGACATTTGGAGCGCTTTCAGGACGACGGTGAAAATGGAAATATCTTCCAATAAAATCTAGATAGAAGCAATGTCAGAAACTTTCATGTCATGTATCTACTCAGCTAACAGAGTTGAACCTTTATTTTGAGAGAGCAGTTTTGCAACACTCTTTTCGTGGAATATTCAAGTGGATATTAGGGCAGCTTTGAGGATTTAGTTGGAAACGGGAATACATATAAAAAGCAGACAGCAGCATTCTCAGAAACTTCTTCGTGATGTTTGCTTTGAAGTCACAGATTTGAACATTCCCTTTCACAGAGCAAGTTTGAAACACTCTTTTTGTAGTGTCTATAAGTGAACATTTGGCGTGCTTTCAGGCCTAACGTGAAAAAGGAAATATCTTCCCATAAAAACTAGACAGAAGCATTCTCAGAAACTTACTTCTGACGTGTTTACTCAACTAACAGAATTGAACCATCATTTTGAAGGAGCAGTTTTGAAACACTGTTTTTGTGGAATCTGCAAGTGGATATTTGGCTAGCTTTGAGGATTTCGTTGGAAACGGGATTATATATAAAAAGGAGACAGCAGCATTCTTAGAAACTATTTTGTGATGTCTGCATTCAAGTCAAAGAGTTGAGCATTCCCTTTCATAGAGCAGGTTTGAAACAGTCTTTTTGTAGTATCTGGATGAGGACATTTGGAGCGCTTTCAGGCGTATGGTGAAAAAGGAAATATCTTCCCGTAAAAACTAGACAGAAGCATTCTCAAAAATTTACTTGTGATGTGTGCCCTCAACTAACAGAGTTGAACCTTTCTTTTGATAGAGCAGTTTTGAAACACTCTTTTTGTAAAATCTGCAAGAGGATATTTGGATAGCTTTGAAGATTTCGTTGCAAACGGGAATGGCTTCATATAAACTCTAGACAGAAGCATTCTCAGAAACTTCGTTGGGATGTTTCGATTGAAGTCCCAGTGTTGAACATTCCCTTTTATAGAGCAGGTTGGAAACACTCTTTCTGCATTCCCTGGAAGTGGACATTTGGAGCGCTTTCAGGACGACGGTGAAAATGGAAATATCTTCCAAGAAAATCTAGATAGAAGCAACGTCAGAAACTTTTCTGTGATGGATCTACTCAGCTAACAGAGTTGAACCTTTCTTTTGAGAGAGCAGTTTTGCAACACTCTTTTTGTGGAATATGCAAGTGGATATTAGGGCAGCTTTGAGGATTTCGTTGGAAACGGGAATACATGTAAAAAGCAGACAGCAGCATTCTCAGAAACTTCTTTGTGATGTTTGCATTGAAGTCACAGAGTTGAACATTCCCTTTGAGAGAGCAGGTTTGAAACACGCCTTTTGTCATATCTGGAAGTGTCCATTCGGAGCGCATTCAGGCTTGTGTTGAAAAAGGAAATATCCTCCCATAAAAACTAGACAGAAGCATTCTCAGAAACTTATCTGTGATGTATGTACTCAACTAACAGAACTAAACCATCGTTTTGAAGGAGCAGTTTTGAAACACTCTTTTTGCGGAATCTGCAAGTGGATATTTGGCTAGCTGGGAGGATTTCGTTGGAAACGGGATTACATACAAAAAGCAGACAGCAGCATTCTCAGAAACTTATTTGTGATGTGTGCCCTCAACTGACAGTGTTGAACCTTTGTTTTGATAGAGCAGTTCTGAAACACACTTTTTGTAAAATCTGCAAGAGGATATTTGGATAGCTTTGAGGATTTCGTTGGAAACGGGAATGTCTTCATGTAAACTCTAGACAGAAGCATTCTCAGAAACTGCTTTGGGATGTTTCAATTGAAGTCCCAGTGTTGAACATTCCCATTCATAGAGCAGGTTTGAAACACTCTTTTTGTACTATCTGGAAGTGGACATTTGGAGCGCTTTCAGGTCTACGGTGAAAAAGGAGATATCTTCCAATAAAAACTAGATAGAAGCAATGTCAGAACTTTTTTCATGATGTATCTACTCAGCAAACAGAGTTGAACCTTTCTTTTGAGAGAGCAGTTTCGAAACACTCTTTCTGTGGAATATGCAAGTGGGTATTAGGCCAGCTTGGAGGATTTCGTTGGAAACGGGAATACGTATAAAAAGCAGACAGCAGCATTGTCAGAAACTACTTTGTGATGTTTGCATTCAAGTCACAGAATTGAACACTCCCTTTCACAGAGCAGGTTTGAAACACTCTTTTTGTAGTGTCTGTAAGTGAACATTTGGATTGCTTTCAGGCCTAAGGTGAAAAAGGAAATATCTTCCCATAAAAACTAGACAGAAGCATTCTCAGAAACTTGTTTTTGATGTGTGCCCTCTACTGACAGAGTTGAACCTTTCTTTGCAAAGAGCAGTTTTGAAACACTCTTTTTGTAGAATCTGCAAGAGGATATTTGGATAGCTTTGAGGATTTCTTGGGAAACGGGAATGTCTTCAGATAAACTCTAGACAGAATCATTCTCAGAAACTTCTTTGGGATGTTTCAATTGAAGTCACAGTGTTGAACATTCCCTTTCACAGAGCAGGTTTGAAACACTCTTTTTGTAGTGTCTATAAGTGAACATTTGGCGTGCTTTCAGGCCTAACGTGAAAAAGGAAATATCTTCCCATAAAAACTAGACAGAAGCATTCTCAGAAACTTGTTCGTGATGTGTGCCCTCTACTGACAGAGTTGAACCTTTCTTTGCAAAGAGCAGCTTTGAAACACACTTTTTGTAGAATCTGCAAGAGGATATTTGGATAGCTTTGAGGATTTCGTTGGAAACGGGTATGTCTTCAGATAAACTCTAGACAGAAGCATTCTCAGAAACTTCTTTGGGATGTTGCATTCAAGTCACAGAGTAGAACATTCCCATTCATAGAGCAGATTTGAAACACTCTTTTTGTAGTGTCTGGAAGTGGACATTTGGAGCGCTTTCAGGCCTATGTTGAAAAAGGAAATATCTTCCCATAAAAACTAGACGGAAGCATTCTCAGAAACTTATTTGTGATGTGTTTGCTCAACTAACAGGATTGAACCATCGTTTTGAAGGAGCAGTTTTGAAACACTGTTTTCGTAGAATCTGCAAGTGGATATTTGGCTAGCTTTGAGGATTTCGTTGGAAACGGGATTACATATACAAAGGAGACAGCAGCATTCTCAGAAACTTCTTTGTGATGTCTGCATTCAATTCACAGAGTTGAGCATTCCCTTTCATAGAGCAGGTTGGAAACACTCTTTTTGTAGTATCTGGATGAGGACATTTGGAGCGCTTTCTGGCCTATGGTGAAAAAGGAAATATCTTCCTGTAAAAACTAGACAGAAGCATTCTCAGAAATTTATTTGTGATGTGTGCCCTCAACTAACAGAGTTGAACCTTTCTTTTGATAGAGCAGTTTTGAAACACTCTTTTTGTAAAATCTGCAAGAGGATATTTGGATAGCTTTGAGGATTTCGTTGCAAACGGGAATGGCTTCATATAAACTCTAGACAGAAGCATTCTCAGAAACTTCGTTGGGATGTTTCGATTGAAGTCCCAGTGTTGAACATTCCCTTTTATAGAGCAGGTTGGAAACACTCTTTCTGCATTCCCTGGAAGTGGACATTTGGAGCGCTTTCAGGACGGCGGTGAAAATGGAAATATCTTCCAAGAAAATCTAGATAGAAGCAATGTCAGAAACTTTTATGTGATGGATCTACTCAGCTAACAGAGTTGAACCTTTCTTTTGAGAGAGCAGTTTTGCAACACTCTTTTTGTGGAATATGCAAGTGGATATTAGGGCAGCTTTGAGGATTTCGTTGGAAACGGGAATACATGTAAAAAGCAGACAGCAGCATTCTCAGAAACTTCTTTGTGATGTTTGCATTGAAGTCACAGAGTTGAACATTCCCTTTGAGAGAGCAGGTTTGAAACACGCCTTTTGTCATATCTGGAAGTGTCCATTCGGAGCGCATTCAGGCTTGTGTTGAAAAAGGAAATATCCTCCCATAAAAACTAGACAGAAGCATTCTCAGAAACTTATCTGTGATGTATGTACTCAACTAACAGAACTAAACCATCGTTTTGAAGGAGCAGTTTTGAAACACTCTTTTTGCGGAATCTGCAAGTGGATATTTGGCTAGCTGGGAGGATTTCGTTGGAAACGGGATTACATACAAAAAGCAGACAGCAGCATTCTCAGAAACTTATTTGTGATGTGTGCCCTCAACTGACAGTGTTGAACCTTTGTTTTGATAGAGCAGTTCTGAAACACACTTTTTGTAAAATCTGCAAGAGGATATTTGGATAGCTTTGAGGATTTCGTTGGAAACGGGAATGTCTTCATGTAAACTCTAGACAGAAGCATTCTCAGAAACTGCTTTGGGATGTTTCAATTGAAGTCCCAGTGTTGAACATTCCCTTTCATAGAGCAGGTTTGAAACACTCTTTTTGTACTATCTGGAAGTGGACATTTGGAGCGCTTTCAGGTCTACGGTGAAAAAGGAGATATCTTCCAATAAAAACTAGATAGAAGCAATGTCAGAACATTTTTCATGATGTATCTACTCAGCAAACAGAGTTGAACCTTTCTTTTGAGAGAGCAGTTTTGAAACACTCTTTTTGTGGAATATGCAAGTGGGTATTAGGCCAGCTTGGAGGATTTCGTTGGAAACGGGAATACGTATAAAAAGCAGACAGCAGCATTGTCAGAAACTACTTTGTGATGTTTGCATTCAAGTCACAGAATTGAACACTCCCTTTCACAGAGCAGGTTTGAAACACTCTTTTTGTAGTGTCTGTAAGTGAACATTTGGATTGCTTTCAGGCCTAAGGTGAAAAAGGAAATATCTTCCCATAAAAACTAGACAGAAGCATTCTCAGAAACTTGTTTGTGATGTGTGCCCTCTACTGACAGAGTTGAACCTTTCTTTGCAAAGAGCAGTTTTGAAACACTCTTTTTGTAGAATCTGCAAGAGGATATTTGGATAGCTTTGAGGATTTCTTGGGAAACGGGAATGTCTTCAGATAAACTCTAGACAGAAGCATTCTCAGAAACTTCTTTGGGATGTTTCAATTGAAGTCACAGTGTTGAACATTCCCTTTCACAGAGCAGGTTTGAAACACTCTTTTTGTAGTGTCTATAAGTGAACATTTGGCGTGCTTTCAGGCGTAACGTGAAAAAGGAAATATCTTCCCATAAAAACTAGACAGAAGCATTCTCAGAAACTTGTTCGTGATGTGTGCCCTCTACTGACAGAGTTGAACCTTTCTTTGCAAAGAGCAGCTTTGAAACACACTTTTTGTAGAATCTGCAAGAGGATATTTGGATAGCTTGGAGGATTTCGTTGGAAACGGGTATGTCTTCAGATAAACTCTAGACAGAAGCATTCTCAGAAACTTCTTTGGGATGTTGCATTCAAGTCACAGAGTAGAACATTCCCATTCATAGAGCAGATTTGAAACACTCTTTTTGTAGTATCTGGAAGTGGACATTTGGAGCGCTTTCAGGCCTATGTTGAAAAAGGAAATATCTTCCCATAAAAACTAGACGGAAGCATTCTCAGAAACTTATTTGTGATGTGTTTGCTCAACTAACAGGATTGAACCATCGTTTTGAAGGAGCAGTTTTGAAACACTGTTTTCGTGGAATCTGCAAGTGGATATTTGGCTAGCTTTGAGGATTTCGTTGGAAACGGGATTACATATACAAAGGAGACAGCAGCATTCTCAGAAACTTCTTTGTGATGTCTGCATTCAAGTCACAGAGTTGAGCATTCCCTTTCATAGAGCAGGTTGGAAACACTCTTTTTGTAGTATCTGGATGAGGACATTTGGAGCTCTTTCAGGCCTATGGTGAAAAAGGAAATATCTTCCCGTAAAAACTAGACAGAAGCATTCTCAGAAGTTTATTTGTGATGTGTGCCCTCAACTAACAGAGTTGAACCTTTCTTTTGATAGAGCAGTTTTGAAACACTCTTTTTGTAAAATCTGCAAGAGGATATTTGGATAGCTTTGAGGATTTCGTTGCAAACGGGAAGGCTTCATATAAACTCTAGACAGAAGCATTCTCAGAAACTTCGTTGGGATGTTTCGATTGAAGTCCCAGTGTTCAACATTCCCTTTTATAGAGCAGGTTGGAAACACTCTTTCTGCATTCCCTGGAAGTGGACAATTGGAGCGCTTTCAGGACGACGGTGAAAATGGAAATATCTTCCAATAAAATCTGGATAGAAGCAATGTCAGAAACTTTTCTGTGATGGATCTACTCAGCTAACAGAGTTGAACCTTTCTTTTGAGAGAGCAGTTTTGCAACACTCTTTTTGTGGAATATGCAAGTGGATATTAGGGCAGCTTTGAGGATTTCGTTGGAAACGGGAATACATGTAAAAAGCAGACAGCAGCATTCTCAGAAACTTCTTTGTGATGTTTGCATTGAAGTCACAGAGTTGAACATTCCCTTTGAGAGAGCAGGTTTGAAACACGCCTTTTGTCATATCTGGAAGTGTCCATTCGGAGCGCATTCAGGCTTGTGTTGAAAAAGGAAATATCCTCCCATAAAAACTAGACAGAAGCATTCTCAGAAACTTATCTGTGATGTATGTACTCAACTAACAGAACTAAACCATCGTTTTGAAGGAGCAGTTTTGAAACACTCTTTTTGCGGAATCTGCAAGTGGATATTTGGCTAGCTGGGAGGATTTCGTTGGAAACGGGATTACATACAAAAAGCAGACAGCAGCATTCTCAGAAACTTATTTGTGATGTGTGCCCTCAACTGACAGTGTTGAACCTTTGTTTTGATAGAGCAGTTCTGAAACACACTTTTTGTAAAATCTGCAAGAGGATATTTGGATAGCTTTGAGGATTTCGTTGGAAACGGGAATGTCTTCATGTAAACTCTAGACAGAAGCATTCTCAGAAACTGCTTTGGGATGTTTCAATTGAAGTCCCAGTGTTGAACATTCCCTTTCATAGAGCAGGTTTGAAACACTCTTTTTGTACTATCTGGAAGTGGACATTTGGAGCGCTTTCAGGTCTACGGTGAAAAAGGAGATATCTTCCAATAAAAACTAGATAGAAGCAATGTCAGAACTTTTTTCATGATGTATCTACTCAGCAAACAGAGTTGAACCTTTCTTTTGAGAGAGCAGTTTTGAAACACTCTTTTTGTGGAATATGGAAGTGGGTATTAGGCCAGCTTGGAGGATTTCGTTGGAAACGGGAATACGTATAAAAAGCAGACAGCAGCATTGTCAGAAACTACTTTGTGATGTTTGCATTCAAGTCACAGAATTGAACACTCCCTTTCACAGAGCAGGTTTGAAACACTCTTTTTGTAGTGTCTGTAAGTGAACATTTGGATTGCTTTTAGGCCTATGGTGAAAAAGGAAATATCTTCCCATAAAAACTAGACAGAAGCATTCTCAGAAACTTGTTTGTGATGTGTGCCCTCTACTGACAGAGTTGAACCTTTCTTTGCAAAGAGCAGTTTTGAAACACTCTTTTTGTAGAATCTGCAAGAGGATATTTGGATAGCTTTGAGGATTTCTTGGGAAACGGGAATGTCTTCAGATAAACTCTAGACAGAAGCATTCTCAGAAACTTCTTTGGGATGTTTCAATTGAAGTCACAGTGTTGAACATTCCCTTTCACAGAGCAGGTTTGAAACACTCTTTTTGTAGTGTCTATAAGTGAACATTTGGCGTGCTTTCAGGCCTAACGTGAAAAAGGAAATATCTTCCCATAAAAACTAGACAGAAGCATTCTCAGAAACTTGTTCGTGATGTGTGCCCTCTACTGACAGAGTTGAACCTTTCTTTGCAAAGAGCAGCTTTGAAACACTCTTTTTGTAGAATCTGCAAGAGGATATTTGGATAGCTTTGAGGATTTCGTTGGAAACGGGTATGTCTTCAGATAAACTCTAGACAGAAGCATTCTCAGAAACTTCTTTGGGATGTTGCATTCAAGTCACAGAGTAGAACATTCCCATTCATAGAGCAGATTTGAAACACTCTTTTTGTAGTATCTGGAAGTGGACATTTGGAGCGCTTTCAGGCCTATGTTGAAAAAGGAAATATCTTCCCATAAAAACTAGACGGAAGCATTCTCAGAAACTTATTTGTGATGTGTTTGCTCAACTAACAGGATTGAACCATCGTTTTGAAGGAGCAGTTTTGAAACACTGTTTTCATGGAATCTGCAAGTGGATATTTGGCTAGCTTTGAGGATTTCGTTGGAAACGGGATTACATATAAAAAGGAGACAGCAGCATTCTCAGAAACTTCTTTGTGATGTCTGCATTCAATTCACAGAGTTGAGCATTCCCTTTCATAGAGCAGGTTGGAAACACTCTTTTTGTAGTATCTGGATGAGGACATTTGGAGCGCTTTCAGGCGTATGGTGAAAAAGGAAATATCTTCCCGTAAAAACTAGACAGAAGCATTCTCAGAAATTTATTTGTGATGTGTGCCCTCAACTAACAGAGTTGAACCTTTCTTTTGATAGAGCAGTTTTGAAACACTCTTTTTGTAAAATCTGCAAGAGGATATTTGGATAGCTTTGAGGATTTCGTTGCAAACGGGAATGGCTTCATATAAACTCTAGACAGAAGCATTCTCAGAAACTTCGTTGGGATGTTTCGATTGAAGTCCCAGTGTTGAACATTCCCTTTTATAGAGCAGGTTGGAAACACTCTTTCTGCATTCCCTGGAAGTGGACAATTGGAGCGCTTTCAGGACGACGGTGAAAATGGAAATATCTTCCAATAAAATCTGGATAGAAGCAATGTCAGAAACTTTTATGTGATGGATCTACTCAGCTAACAGAGTTGAACCTTTCTTTTGAGAGAGCAGTTTTGCAACACTCTTTTTGTGGAATATGCAAGTGGATATTAGGGCAGCTTTGAGGATTTCGTTGGAAACGGGAATACATGTAAAAAGCAGACAGCAGCATTCTCAGAAACTTCTTTGTGATGTTTGCATTGAAGTCACAGAGTTGAACATTCCCTTTGAGAGAGCAGGTTTGAAACACGCCTTTTGTCATATCTGGAAGTGTCCATTCGGAGCGCATTCAGGCTTGTGTTGAAAAAGGAAATATCCTCCCATAAAAACTAGACAGAAGCATTCTCAGAAACTTATCTGTGATGTATGTACTCAACTAACAGAACTAAACCATCGTTTTGAAGGAGCAGTTTTGAAACACTCTTTTTGCGGAATCTGCAAGTGGATATTTGGCTAGCTGGGAGGATTTCGTTGGAAACGGGATTACATACAAAAAGCAGACAGCAGCATTCTCAGAAACTTATTTGTGATGTGTGCCCTCAACTGACAGTGTTGAACCTTTGTTTTGATAGAGCAGTTCTGAAACACACTTTTTGTAAAATCTGCAAGAGGATATTTGGATAGCTTTGAGGATTTCGTTGGAAACGGGAATGTCTTCATGTAAACTCTACACAGAAGCATTCTCAGAAACTGCTTTGGGATGTTTCAATTGAAGTCCCAGTGTTGAACATTCCCTTTCATAGAGCAGGTTTGAAACACTCTTTTTGTACTATCTGGAAGTGGACATTTGGAGCGCTTTCAGGTCTACGGTGAAAAAGGAGATATCTTCCAATAAAAACTAGATAGAAGCAATGTCAGAACTTTTTTCATGATGTATCTACTCAGCAAACAGAGTTGAACCTTTCTTTTGAGAGAGCAGTTTTGAAACACTCTTTTTGTGGAATATGCAAGTGGGTATTAGGCCAGCTTGGAGGATTTCGTTGGAAACGGGAATACGTATAAAAAGCAGACAGCAGCATTGTCAGAAACTACTTTGTGATGTTTGCATTCAAGTCACAGAATTGAACACTCCCTTTCACAGAGCAGGTTTGAAACACTCTTTTTGTAGTGTCTGTAAGTGAACATTTGGATTGCTTTCAGGCCTAAGGTGAAAAAGGAAATATCTTCCCATAAAAACTAGACAGAAGCATTCTCAGAAACTTGTTTGTGATGTGTGCCCTCTACTGACAGAGTTGAACCTTTCTTTGCAAAGAGCAGTTTTGAAACACTCTTTTTGTAGAATCTGCAAGAGGATATTTGGATAGCTTTGAGGATTTCTTGGGAAACGGGAATGTCTTCAGATAAACTCTAGACAGAAGCATTCTCAGAAACTTCTTTGGGATGTTTCAATTGAAGTCACAGTGTTGAACATTCCCTTTCACAGAGCAGGTTTGAAACACTCTTTTTGTAGTGTCTATAAGTGAACATTTGGCGTGCTTTCAGGCCTAACGTGAAAAAGGAAATATCTTCCCATAAAAACTAGACAGAAAGCATTCTCAGAAAACTTGTTCGTGATGTGTGCCCTCTACTGACAGAGTTGAACCTTTCTTTGCAAAGAGCAGCTTTGTAACACACTTTTTGTAGAATCTGCAAGAGGATATTTGGATAGCTTTGAGGATTTCGTTGGAAACGGGTATGTCTTCTGATAAACTCTAGACAGAAGCATTCTCAGAAACTTCTTTGGGATGTTGCATGCAAGTCACAGAGTAGAACATTCCCATTCATAAATCAGATTTGAAACACTCTTTTTGTAGTATCTGGAAGTGGACATTTGGAGCGCTTTCAGGCCTATGTTGAAAAAGGAAATATCTTCCCATAAAAACTAGACGGAAGCATTCTCAGAAACTTATTTGTGATGTGTTTGCTCAACTAACAGGATTGAACCATCGTTTTGAAGGAGCAGTTTTGAAACACTGTTTTCGTGGAATCTGCAAGTGGATATTTGGCTAGCTTTGAGGATTTCGTTGGAAACGGGATTACATATAAAAAGGAGACAGCAGCATTCTCAGAAACTTCTTTGTGATGTCTGCATTCAAGTCACAGGAGTTGAGCATTCCCTTTCATAGAGCAGGTTGGAAACACTCTTTGTGTAGTATCTGGATGAGGACATTTGGAGCGCTTTCAGGCGTATGGTGAAAAAGGAAATATCTTCCCGTAAAAACTAGACAGAAGCATTCTCAGAAATTTATTTGTGATGTGTGCCCTCAACTAACAGAGTTGAACCTTTCTTTTGATAGAGCAGTTTTGAAACACTCTTTTTGTAAAATCTGCAAGAGGATATTTGGATAGCTTTGAGGATTTCGTTGCAAACGGGAATGGCTTCATATAAACTCTAGACAGAAGCATTCTCAGAAACTTCGTTGGGATGTTTCGATTGAAGTCCCAGTGTTGAACATTCCCTTTTATAGAGCAGGTTGGAAACACTCTTTCTGCATTCCCTGGAAGTGGACATTTGGAGCGCTTTCAGGACGACGGTGAAAATGGAAATATCTTCCAAGAAAATCTAGATAGAAGCAATGTCAGAAACTTTTATGTGATGGATCTACTCAGCTAACAGAGTTGAAGCTTTCTTTTGAGAGAGCAGTTTTGCAACACTCTTTTTCTGGAATATGCAAGTGGATATTAGGGCAGCTTTGAGGATTTCGTTGGAAACGGGAATACATGTAAAAAGCAGACAGCAGCATTCTCAGAAACTTCTTTGTGATGTTTGCATTGAAGTCACAGAGTTGAACATTCCCTTTGAGAGAGCAGGTTTGAAACACGCCTTTTGTCATATCTGGAAGTGTCCATTCGGAGCGCATTCAGGCTTGTGTTGAAAAAGGAAATATCCTCCCATAAAAACTAGACAGAAGCATTCTCAGAAACTTATCTGTGATGTATGTACTCAACTAACAGAACTAAACCATCGTTTTGAAGGAGCAGTTTTGAAACACTCTTTTTGCGGAATCTGCAAGTGGATATTTGGCTAGCTGGGAGGATTTCGTTGGAAACGGGATTACATACAAAAAGCAGAGAGCAGCATTCTCAGAAACTTATTTGTGATGTGTGCCCTCAACTGACAGTGTTGAACCTTTGTTTTGATAGAGCAGTTCTGAAACACACTTTTTGTAAAATCTGCAAGAGGATATTTGGATAGCTTTGAGGATTTCGTTGGAAACGGGAATGTCTTCATGTAAACTCTAGACAGAAGCATTCTCAGAAACTGCTTTGGGATGTTTCAATTGAAGTCCCAGTGTTGAACATTCCCTTTCATAGGAGCAGGTTTGAAACACTCTTTTTGTACTATCTGGAAGTGGACATTTGGAGCGCTTTCAGGTCTACGGTGAAAAAGGAGATATCTTCCAATAAAAACTAGATAGAAGCAATGTCAGAACTTTTTTCATGATGTATCTACTCAGCAAACAGAGTTGAACCTTTCTTTTGAGAGAGCAGTTTTGACACAGTCTTTGTGGAATATGCAAGTGGGTATTAGGCCAGCTTGGAGGATTTCGTTGGAAACGGGAATACGTATAAAAAGCAGACAGCAGCATTGTCAGAAACTACTTTGTGATGTTTGCATTCAAGTCACAGAATTGAACACTCCCTTTCACAGAGCAGGTTTGAAACACTCTTTTTGTAGTGTCTGTAAGTGAACATTTGGATTGCTTTCAGGCCTAAGGTGAAAAAGGAAATATCTTCCCATAAAAACTAGACAGAAGCATTCTCAGAAACTTGTTTGTGATGTGTGCCCTCTACTGACAGAGTTGAACCTTTCTTTGCAAAGACCAGTTTTGAAACACTCTTTTTGTAGAATCTGCAAGAGGATATTTGGATAGCTTTGAGGATTTCTTGGGAAACGGGAATGTCTTCAGATAAACTCTAGACAGAAGCATTCTCAGAAACTTCTTTGGGATGTTTCAATTGAAGTCACAGTGTTGAACATTCCCTTTCACAGAGCAGGTTTGAAACACTCTTTTTGTAGTGTCTATAAGTGAACATTTGGCGTGCTTTCAGGCGTAACGTGAAAAAGGAAATATCTTCCCATAAAAACCAGACAGAAGCATTCTCAGAAACTTGTTCGTGATGTGTGCCCTCTACTGACAGAGTTGAACCTTTCTTTGCAAAGAGCAGCTTTGAAACACTCTTTTTGTAGAATCTGCAAGAGGATATTTGGATAGCTTGGAGGATTTCGTTGGAAACGGGTATGTCTTCAGATAAACTCTAGACAGAAGCATTCTCAGAAACTTCTTTGGGATGTTGCATTCAAGTCACAGAGTAGAACATTCCCATTCATAGAGCAGATTTGAAACACTCTTTTTGTAGTATCTGGAAGTGGACATTTGGAGCGCTTTCAGGCCTATGTTGAAAAAGGAAATATCTTCCCATAAAAACTAGACGGAAGCATTCTCAGAAACTTAATTGTGATGTGTTTGCTCAACTAACAGGATTGAACCATCGTTTTGAAGGAGCAGTTTTGAAACACTGTTTTCGTGGAATCTGCAAGTGGATATTTGGCTAGCTTTGAGGATTTCGTTGGAAACGGGATTACATATAAAAAGGAGACAGCAGCATTCTCAGAAACTTCTTTGTGATGTTTGCATTCAAGTCACAGAGTTGAACATTCCCTTTCATAGAGCAGGTTTGAAACACTCTTT
The DNA here is from genome assembly GCF_000001405.40 of Homo sapiens. Taxonomy (NCBI): domain Eukaryota; kingdom Metazoa; phylum Chordata; class Mammalia; order Primates; family Hominidae; genus Homo; species Homo sapiens. Next base: position 28,349,872 of record NC_000020.11, read on the forward strand.
TTGTAGTATCTGGATGTGGACATTTGGATCGCTTTCAGGCCTATGGTGAAAAAGGAAATATCTTCCCATGAAAACTAGACAGAAGCATTCTCAGAAACTTATTGGTGATGTGTGCCCTCAACTGACAGTGTTGAAACTTTGTTTTGATAGAGCAGTTCTGAAACACACTTTTTGTAAAATCTGCAAGAGGATATTTGGATAGCTTTGAGGATTTCGTTGGAAACGGGAATGTCTTCATGTAAACTCTGGACAGAAGCATTCTCAGAAACTGCTTTGGGATGTTTCAATTGAAGTCCCAGTGTTGAACATTCCCATTCATAGAGCAGGTTTGAAACACTCTTTTTGTACTATCTGGAAGTGGACATTTGGAGCGCTTTCAGGTCTACGGTGAAAAAGGAGATATCTTCCAATAAAAACTAGATAGAAGCAATGTCAGAACTTTTTTCATGATGTATCTACTCAGCAAACAGAGTTGAACCTTTCTTTTGAGAGAGCAGTTTTGAAACACTCTTTTTGTGGAATATGCAAGTGGGTATTAGGCCAGCTTGGAGGATTTCGTTGGAAACGGGAATACGTATAAAAAGCAGACAGCAGCATTGTCAGAAACTACTTTGTGATGTTTGCATTCAAGTCACAGAATTGAACACTCCCTTTCACAGAGCAGGTTTGAAACACTCTTTTTGTAGTGTCTGTAAGTGAACATATGGATTGCTTTCAGGCCTAAGGTGAAAAAGGAAATATCTTCCCATAAAAACTAGACAGAAGCATTCTCAGAAACTTGTTTGTGATGTGTGCCCTCTACTGACAGAGTTGAACCTTTCTTTGCAAAGACCAGTTTTGAAACACTCTTTTTGTAGAATCTGCAAGAGGATATTTGGATAGCTTTGAGGATTTCTTGGGAAACGGGAATGTCTTCAGATAAACTCTAGACAGAAGCATTCTCAGAAACTTCTTTGGGATGTTTCAATTGAAGTCACAGTGTTGAACATTCCCTTTCACAGAGCAGGTTTGAAACACTCTTTTTGTAGTGTCTATAAGTGAACATTTGGCGTGCTTTCAGGCCTAACGTGAAAAAGGAAATATCTTCCCATAAAAACTAGACAGAAGCATTCTCAGAAACTTGTTTGTGATGTGTGCCCTCTACTGACAGAGTTGAACCTTTCTTTGCAAAGAGCAGCTTTGAAACACTCTTTTTGTAGAATCTGCAAGAGGATATTTGGATAGCTTTGAGGATTTCGTTGGAAACGGGTATGTCTTCAGATAAACTCTAGACAGAAGCATTCTCAGAAACTTCTTTGGGATGCTGCATTCAAGTCACAGAGTAGAACATTCCCATTCATAGAGCAGATTTGAAACACTCTTTTTGTAGTATCTGGAAGTGGACATTTGGAGCGCTTTCAGGCCTATGTTGAAAAAGGAAATATCTTGCCATAAAAACTAGACGGAAGCATTTTCAGAAACTTACTTGTGATGTGTTTGCTCAACTAACAGAATTGAACCATCGTTTTGAAGGAGCACTTTTGAAACACTGTTTTCGTGGAATCTGCAAGTGGATATTTGGCTAGCTTTGAGGATTTCGTTGGAAACGGGATTACCTATAAAAAGGAGACAGCAGCATTCTCAGAAACTTCTTTGTGATGTTTGCATTCAAGTCACAGAGTTGAACATTCCCTTTCATAGAGCAGGTTTGAAACACTCTTTTTGTAGTATCTGGATGTGGACATTTGGATCGCTTTCAGGCCTATGGTGAAAAAGGAAATATCTTCCCATGAAAACTAGACAGAAGCATTCTCAGAAACTTATTTGTGATGTGTGCCCTCAACTGACAGTGTTGAACCTTTGTTTTGATAGAGCAGTTCTGAAACACACTTTTTGTAAAATCTGCAAGAGGATATTTGGATAGCTTTGAGGATTTCGTTGGAAACGGGAATGTCTTCATGTAAACTCTAGACAGAAGCATTCTCAGAAACTGCTTTGGGATGTTTCAATTGAAGTCCCAGTGTTGAACATTCCCTTTCATAGAGCAGGTTTGAAACACTCTTTTTGTACTATCTGGAAGTGGACATTTGGAGCGCTTTCAGGTCTACGGTGAAAAAGGAGATATCTTCCAATAAAAACTAGATAGAAGCAATGTCAGAACTTTTTTCATGATGTATCTACTCAGCAAACAGAGTTGAACCTTTCTTTTGAGAGAGCAGTTTTGAAACACTCTTTTTGTGGAATATGCAAGTGGGTATTAGGCCAGCTTGGAGGATTTCGTTGGAAACGGGAATACGTATAAAAAGCAGACAGCAGCATTGTCAGAAACTACTTTGTGATGTTTGCATTCAAGTCACAGAATTGAACACTCCCTTTCACAGAGCAGGTTTGAAACACTCTTTTTGTAGTGTCTGTAAGTGAACATATGGATTGCTTTCAGGCCTAAGGTGAAAAAGGAAATATCTTCCCATAAAAACTAGACAGAAGCATTCTCAGAAACTTGTTTGTGATGTGTGCCCTCTACTGACAGAGTTGAACCTTTCTTTGCAAAGAGCAGTTTTGAAACACTCTTTTTGTAGAATCTGCAAGAGGATATTTGGATAGCTTTGAGGATTTCTTGGGAAACGGGAATGTCTTCAGATAAACTCTAGACAGAAGCATTCTCAGAAACTTCTTTGGGATGTTTCAATTGAAGTCACAGTGTTGAACATTCCCTTTCACAGAGCAGGTTTGAAACACTCTTTTTGTAGTGTCTATAAGTGAACATTTGGCGTGCTTTCAGGCGTAACGTGAAAAAGGAAATATCTTCCCATAAAAACTAGACAGAAGCATTCTCAGAAACTTGTTCTTGATGTGTGCCCTCTACTGACAGAGTTGAACCTTTCTTTGCAAAAAGCAGCTTTGAAACACTCTTTTTGTAGAATCTGCAAGAGGATATTTGGATAGCTTGGAGGATTTCGTTGGAAACGGGTATGTCTTCAGATAAACTCTAGACAGAAGCATTCTCAGAAACTTCTTTGGGATGTTGCATTCAAGTCACAGAGTAGAACATTCCCATTCATAGAGCAGATTTGAAACACTCTTTTTGTAGTATCTGGAAGTGGACATTTGGAGCGCTTTCAGGCCTATGTTGAAAAAGGAAATATCTTCCCATAAAAACTAGACGGAAGCATTCTCAGAAACTTATTTGTGATGTGTTTGCTCAACTAACAGGATTGAACCATCGTTTTGAAGGAGCAGTTTTGAAACACTGTTTTCGTGGAATCTGCAAGTGGATATTTGGCTAGCTTTGAGGATTTCGTTGGAAACGGGATTACATATAAAAAGGAGACAGCAGCATTCTCAGAAACTTCTTTGTGATGTCTGCATTCAATTCACAGAGTTGAGCATTCCCTTTCATAGAGCAGGTTGGAAACACTCTTTTTGTAGTATCTGGATGAGGACATTTGGAGCGCTTTCAGGCCTATGGTGAAAAAGGAAATATCTTCCCGTAAAAACTAGACAGAAGCATTCTCAGAAATTTATTTGTGATGTGTGCCCTCAACTAACAGAGTTGAACCTTTCTTTTGATAGAGCAGTTTTGAAACACTCTTTTTGTAAAATCTGCAAGAGGATATTTGGATAGCTTTGAGGATTTCATTGCAAACGGGAATGGCTTCATATAAACTCTAGACAGAAGCATTCTCAGAAACTTCGTTGGGATGTTTCGATTGAAGTCCCAGTGTTGAACATTCCCTTTTATAGAGCAGGTTGGAAACACTCTTTCTGCATTCCCTGGAAGTGGACATTTGGAGCGCTTTCAGGACGACGGTGAAAATGGAAATATCTTCCAAGAAAATCTAGATAGAAGCAACGTCAGAAACTTTTCTGTGATGGATCTACTCAGCTAACAGAGTTGAACCTTTCTTTTGAGAGAGCAGTTTTGCAACACTCTTTTTGTGGAATATGCAAGTGGATATTAGGGCAGCTTTGAGGATTTCGTTGGAAACGGGAATACATGTAAAAAGCAGACAGCAGCATTCTCAGAAACTTCTTTGTGATGTTTGCATTGAAGTCACAGAGTTGAACATTCCCTTTGAGAGAGCAGGTTTGAAACACGCCTTTTGTCATATCTGGAAGTGTCCATTCGGAGCGCATTCAGGCTTGTGTTGAAAAAGGAAATATCCTCCCATAAAAACTAGACAGAAGCATTCTCAGAAACTTATCTGTGATGTATGTACTCAACTAACAGAACTAAACCATCGTTTTGAAGGAGCAGTTTTGAAACACTCTTTTTGCGGAATCTGCAAGTGGATATTTGGCTAGCTGGGAGGATTTCGTTGGAAACGGGATTACATACAAAAAGCAGACAGCAGCATTCTCAGAAACTTATTTGTGATGTGTGCCCTCAACTGACAGTGTTGAACCTTTGTTTTGATAGAGCAGTTCTGAAACACACTTTTTGTAAAATCTGCAAGAGGATATTTGGATAGCTTTGAGGATTTCGTTGGAAACGGGAATGTCTTCATGTAAACTCTACACAGAAGCATTCTCAGAAACTGCTTTGGGATGTTTCAATTGAAGTCCCAGTGTTGAACATTCCCATTCATAGAGCAGGTTTGAAACACTCTTTTTGTACTATCTGGAAGTGGACATTTGGAGCGCTTTCAGGTCTACGGTGAAAAAGGAGATATCTTCCAATAAAAACTAGATAGAAGCAATGTCAGAACTTTTTTCATGATGTATCTACTCAGCAAACAGAGTTGAACCTTTCTTTTGAGGGAGCAGTTTTGAAACACTATTTTTGTGGAATATGCAAGTGGGTATTAGGCCAGCTTGGAGGATTTCGTTGGAAACGGGAATACGTATAAAAAGCAGACAGCAGCATTGTCAGAAACTACTTTGTGATGTTTGCATTCAAGTCACAGAATTGAACACTCCCTTTCACAGAGCAGGTTTGAAACACTCTTTTTGTAGTGTCTGTAAGTGAACATTTGGATTGCTTTCAGGCCTAAGGTGAAAAAGGAAATATCTTCCCATAAAAACTAGACAGAAGCATTCTCAGAAACTTGTTTGTGATGTGTGCCCTCTACTGACAGAGTTGAACCTTTCTTTGCAAAGAGCAGTTTTGAAACACTCTTTTTGTAGAATCTGCAAGAGGATATTTGGATAGCTTTGAGGATTTCTTGGGAAACGGGAATGTCTTCAGATAAACTCCAGACAGAAGCATTCTCAGAAACTTCTTTGGGATGTTTCAATTGAAGTCACAGTGTTGAACATTCCCTTTCACAGAGCAGGTTTGAAACACTCTTTTTGTAGTGTCTATAAGTGAACATTTGGCGTGCTTTCAGGCCTAACGTGAAAAAGGAAATATCTTCCCATAAAAACTAGACAGAAGCATTCTCAGAAACTTGTTCGTGATGTGTGCCCTCTACTGACAGAGTTGAACCTTTCTTTGCAAAGAGCAGCTTTGAAACACTCTTTTTGTAGAATCTGCAAGAGGATATTTGGATAGCTTTGAGGATTTCGTTGGAAACGGGTATGTCTTCAGATAAACTCTAGACAGAAGCATTCTCAGAAACTTCTTTGGGATGTTTCAATTGAAGTCACAGAGTAGAACATTCCCATTCATAGAGCAGATTTGAAACACTCTTTGTGTAGTATCTGGAAGTGGACATTTGGAGCGCTTTCAGGCCTATGTTGAAAAAGGAAATATCTTCCCATAAAAACTAGACGGAAGCATTCTCAGAAACTTACTTGTGATGTGTTTGCTCAACTAACAGAATTGAACCATCGTTTTGAAGGAGCAGTTTTGAAACACTGTTTTCGTGGAATCTGCAAGTGGATATTTGGCTAGCTTTGAGGATTTCGTTGGAAACGGGATTACATATAAAAAGGAGACAGCAGCATTCTCAGAAACTTCTTTGTGATGTTTGCATTCAAGTCACAGAGTTGAACATTCCCTTTCATAGAGCAGGTTTGAAACACTCTTTTTGTAGTATCTGGATGTGGACATTTGGATCGCTTTCAGGCCTATGGTGAAAAAGGAAATATCTTCCCATGAAAACTAGACAGAAGCATTCTCAGAAACTTATTGGTGATGTGTGCCCTCAACTGACAGTGTTGAACCTTTGTTTTGATAGAGCAGTTCTGAAACACACCTTTTGTAAAATCTGCAAGAGGATATTTGGATAGCTTTGAGGATTTCGTTGGAAACGGGAATGTCTTCATGTAAACTCTACACAGAAGCATTCTCAGAAACTGCTTTGGGATGTTTCAATTGAAGTCCCAGTGTTGAACATTCCCTTTCATAGAGCAGGTTTGAAACACTCTTTTTGTACTATCTGGAAGTGGACATTTGGAGCGCTTTCAGGTCTACGGTGAAAAAGGAGATATCTTCCAATAAAAACTAGATAGAAGCAATGTCAGAACTTTTTTCATGATGTATCTACTCAGCAAACAGAGTTGAACCTTTCTTTTGAGAGAGCAGTTTTGAAACACTCTTTTTGTGGAATATGCAAGTGGGTATTAGGCCAGCTTGGAGGATTTCGTTGGAAACGGGAATACGTATAAAAAGCAGACAGCAGCATTGTCAGAAACTACTTTGTGATGTTTGCATTCAAGTCACAGAATTGAACACTCCCTTTCACAGAGCAGGTTTGAAACACTCTTTTTGTAGTGTCTGTAAGTGAACATATGGATTGCTTTCAGGCCTAAGGTGAAAAAGGAAATATCTTCCCATAAAAACTAGACAGAAGCATTCTCAGAAACTTGTTTGTGATGTGTGCCCTCTACTGACAGAGTTGAACCTTTCTTTGCAAAGACCAGTTTTGAAACACTCTTTTTGTAGAATCTGCAAGAGGATATTTGGATAGCTTTGAGGATTTCTTGGGAAACGGGAATGTCTTCAGATAAACTCTAGACAGAAGCATTCTCAGAAACTTCTTTGGGATGTTTCAATTGAAGTCACAGTGTTGAACATTCCCTTTCACAGAGCAGGTTTCAAACACTCTTTTTGTAGTGTCTATAAGTGAACATTTGGCGTGCTTTCAGGCCTAACGTGAAAAAGGAAATATCTTCCCATAAAAACTAGACAGAAGCATTCTCAGAAACTTGTTCGTGATGTGTGCCCTCTACTGACAGAGTTGAACCTTTCTTTGCAAAGAGCAGCTTTGAAACACACTTTTTGTAGAATCTGCAAGAGGATATTTGGATAGCTTTGAGGATTTCGTTGGAAACGGGTATGTCTTCAGATAAACTCTAGACAGAAGCATTCTCAGAAACTTCTTTGGGATGTTGCATTCAAGTCACAGAGTAGAACATTCCCATTCATAGAGCAGATTTGAAACACTCTTTTTGTAGTATCTGGAAATGGACATTTGGAGCGCTTTCAGGCCTATGTTGAAAAAGGAAATATCTTCCCATAAAAACTAGACGGAAGCATTCTCAGAAACTTATTTGTGATGTGTTTGCTCAACTAACAGGATTGAACCATCGTTTTGAAGGAGCAGTTTTGAAACACTGTTTTCGTGGAATCTGCAAGTGGATATTTGGCTAGCTTTGAGGATTTCGTTGGAAACGGGATTACATATACAAAGGAGACAGCAGCATTCTCAGAAACTTCTTTGTGATGTCTGCATTCAAGTCACAGAGTTGAGCATTCCCTTTCATAGAGCAGGTTGGAAACACTCTTTTTGTAGTATCTGGATGAGGACATTTGGAGCGCTTTCAGGCGTATGGTGAAAAAGGAAATATCTTCCCGTAAAAACTAGACAGAAGCATTCTCAGAAATTTATTTGTGAGGTGTGCCCTCAACTAACCGAGTTGAACCTTTCTTTTGATAGAGCAGTTTTGAAACACTCTTTTTGTAAAATCTGCAAGAGGATATTTGGATAGCTTTGAGGATTTCGTTGCAAACGGGAATGGCTTCATATAAACTCTAGACAGAAGCATTCTCAGAAACTTCGTTGGGATGTTTCGATTGAAGTCCCAGTGTTGAACATTCCCTTTTATAGAGCAGGTTGGAAACACTCTTTCTGCATTCCCTGGAAGTGGACATTTGGAGCGCTTTCAGGACGACGGTGAAAATGGAAATATCTTCCAAGAAAATCTAGATAGAAGCAACGTCAGAAACTTTTATGTGATGGATCTACTCAGCTAACAGAGTTGAACCTTTCTTTTGAGAGAGCAGTTTTGCAACACTCTTTTTGTGGAATATGCAAGTGGATATTAGGGCAGCTTTGAGGATTTCGTTGGAAACGGGAATACATGTAAAAAGCAGACAGCAGCATTCTCAGAAACTTCTTTGTGATGTTTGCATTGAAGTCACAGAGTTGAACATTCCCTTTGAGAGAGCAGGTTTGAAACACGCCTTTTGTCATATCTGGAAGTGTCCATTCGGAGCGCATTCAGGCTTGTGTTGAAAAAGGAAATATCCTCCCATAAAAACTAGACAGAAGCATTCTCAGAAACTTATCTGTGATGTATGTACTCAACTAACAGAACTAAACCATCGTTTTGAAGGAGCAGTTTTGAAACACTCTTTTTGCGGAATCTGCAAGTGGATATTTGGCTAGCTGGGAGGATTTCGTTGGAAACGGGATTACATACAAAAAGCAGAGAGCAGCATTCTCAGAAACTTATTTGTGATGTGTGCCCTCAACTGACAGTGTTGAACCTTTGTTTTGATAGAGCAGTTCTGAAACACACTTTTTGTAAAATCTGCAAGAGGATATTTGGATAGCTTTGAGGATTTCGTTGGAAACGGGAATGTCTTCATGTAAACTCTAGACAGAAAGCATTCTCAGAAACTGCTTTGGGATGTTTCAATTGAAGTCCCAGTGTTGAACATTCCCTTTCATAGAGCAGGTTTGAAACACTCTTTTTGTACTATCTGGAAGTGGACATTTGGAGCGCTTTCAGGTCTACGGTGAAAAAGGAGATATCTTCCAATAAAAACTAGATAGAAGCAATGTCAGAACTTTTTTCATGATGTATCTACTCAGCAAACAGAGTTGAACCTTTGTTTTGAGAGAGCAGTTTTGACACTGTCTTTGTGGAATATGCAAGTGGGTATTAGGCCAGCTTGGAGGATTTCGTTGGAAACGGGAATACGTATAAAAAGCAGACAGCAGCATTGTCAGAAACTACTTTGTGATGTTTGCATTCAAGTCACAGAATTGAACACTCCCTTTCACAGAGCAGGTTTGAAACACTCTTTTTGTAGTGTCTGTAAGTGAACATTTGGATTGCTTTCAGGCCTAAGGTGAAAAAGGAAATATCTTCCCATAAAAACTAGACAGAAGCATTCTCAGAAACTTGTTTGTGATGTGTGCCCTCTACTGACAGAGTTGAACCTTTCTTTGCAAAGAGCAGTTTTGAAACACTCTTTTTGTAGAATCTGCAAGAGGATATTTGGATAGCTTTGAGGATTTCTTGGGAAACGGGAATGTCTTCAGATAAACTCTAGACAGAAGCATTCTCAGAAACTTCTTTGGGATGTTTCAATTGAAGTCACAGTGTTGAACATTCCCTTTCACAGAGCAGGTTTGAAACACTCTTTTTGTAGTGTCTATAAGTGAACATTTGGCGTGCTTTCAGGCGTAACGTGAAAAAGGAAATATCTTCCCATAAAAACCAGACAGAAGCATTCTCAGAAACTTGTTCGTGATGTGTGCCCTCTACTGACAGAGTTGAACCTTTCTTTGCAAAGAGCAGCTTTGAAACACTCTTTTTGTAGAATCTGCAAGAGGATATTTGGATAGCTTTGAGGATTTCGTTGGAAACGGGTATGTCTTCAGATAAACTCTAGACAGAAGCATTCTCAGAAACTTCTTTGGGATGTTGCATTCAAGTCACAGAGTAGAACATTCCCATTCATAGAGCAGATTTGAAACACTCTTTTTGTAGTATCTGGAAGTGGACATTTGGAGCGCTTTCAGGCCTATGTTGAAAAAGGAAATATGTTCCCATAAAAACTAGACGGAAGCATTCTCAGAAACTTACTTGTGATGTGTTTGCTCAACTAACAGAATTGAACCATCGTTTTGAAGGAGCAGTTTTGAAACACTGTTTTCGTGGAATCTGCAAGTGGATATTTGGCTAGCTTTGAGGATTTCGTTGGAAACGGGATTACATATAAAAAGGAGACAGCAGCATTCTCAGAAACTTCTTTGTGATGTTTGCATTCAAGTCACAGAGTTGAACATTCCCTTTCATAGAGCAGGTTTGAAACACTCTTTTTGTAGTATCTGGATGTGGACATTTGGATCGCTTTCAGGCCTATGGTGAAAAAGGAAATATCTTCCCATGAAAACTAGACAGAAGCATTCTCAGAAACTTATTGGTGATGTGTGCCCTCAACTGACAGTGTTGAACCTTTGTTTTGATAGAGCAGTTCTGAAACACACTTTTTGTAAAATCTGCAAGAGGATATTTGGATAGCTTTGAGGATTTCGTTGGAAACGGGAATGTCTTCATGTAAACTCTAGACAGAAGCATTCTCAGAAACTGCTTTGGGATGTTTCAATTGAAGTCCCAGTGTTGAACATTCCCATTCATAGAGCAGGTTTGAAACACTCTTTTTGTACTATCTGGAAGTGGACATTTGGAGCGCTTTCAGGTCTACGGTGAAAAAGGAGATATCTTCCAATAAAAACTAGATAGAAGCAATGTCAGAACTTTTTTCATGATGTATCTACTCAGCTAACAGAGTTGAACCTTTCTTTTGAGAGAGCAGTTTTGAAACACTCTTTTTGTGGAATATGCAAGTGGGTATTAGGCCAGCTTGGAGGATTTCGTTGGAAACGGGAATACGTATAAAAAGACGACAGCAGCATTGTCAGAAACTACTTTGTGATGTTTGCATTCAAGTCACAGAATTGAACACTCCCTTTCACAGAGCAGGTTTGAAACACTCTTTTTGTAGTGTCTGTAAGTGAACATTTGGATTGCTTTCAGGCCTAAGGTGAAAAAGGAAATATCTTCCCATAAAAACTAGACAGAAGCATTCTCAGAAACTTGTTTGTGATGTGTGCCCTCTACTGACAGAGTTGAACCTTTCTTTGCAAAGAGCAGTTTTGAAACACTCTTTTTGTAGAATCTGCAAGAGGATATTTGGATAGCTTTGAGGATTTCTTGGGAAACGGGAATGTCTTCAGATAAACTCTAGACAGAAGCATTCTCAGAAACTTCTTTGGGATGTTTCAATTGAAGTCACAGTGTTGAACATTCCCTTTCACAGAGCAGGTTTGAAACACTCTTTTTGTAGTGTCTATAAGTGAACATTTGGCGTGCTTTCAGGCCTAACGTGAAAAAGGAAATATCTTCCCATAAAAACTAGACAGAAGCATTCTCAGAAACTTGTTTGTGATGTGTGCCCTCTACTGACAGAGTTGAACCTTTCTTTGCAAAGAGCAGCTTTGAAACACTCTTTTTGTAGAATCTGCAAGAGGATATTTGGATAGCTTTGAGGATTTTGTTGGAAACGGGTATGTCTTCACATAAACTCTAGACAGAAGCATTCTCAGAAACTTCTTTGGGATGTTGCATTCAAGTCACAGAGTAGAACATTCCCATTCATAGAGCAGATTTGAAACACTCTTTTTGTAGTATCTGGAAGTGGACATTTGGAGCGCTTTCAGGCCTATGTTGAGAAACGAAATATCTTCCCATAAAAACTAGACGGAAGCATTCTCAGAAACTTATTTGTGATGTGTTTGCTCAACTAACAGGATTGAACCATCGTTTTGAAGGAGCAGTTTTGAAACACTGTTTTCGTGGAATCTGCAAGTGGATATTTGGCTAGCTTTGAGGATTTCGTTGGAAACGGGATTACATATAAAAAGGAGACAGCAGCATTCTCAGAAACTTCTTTGTGATGTCTGCATTCAAGTCACAGAGTTGAGCATTCCCTTTCATAGAGCAGGTTGTAAACACTCTTTTTGTAGTATCTGGATGAGGACATTTGGAGCGCTTTCAGGCGTATGGTGAAAAAGGAAATATCTTCCCGTAAAAACTAGACAGAAGCATTCTCAGAAATTTATTTGTGATGTGTGCCCTCAACTAACAGAGTTGAACCTTTCTTTTGATAGAGCAGTTTTGAAACACTCTTTTTGTAAAATCTGCAAGAGGATATTTGGATAGCTTTGAGGATTTCGTTGCAAACGGGAATGGCTTCATATAAACTCTAGACAGAAGCATTCTCAGAAACTTCGTTGGGATGTTTCGATTGAAGTCCCAGTGTTGAACATTCCCTTTTATAGAGCAGGTTGGAAACACTCTTTCTGCATTCCCTGGAAGTGTACATTTGGAGCGCTTTCAGGACGACGGTGAAAATGGAAATATCTTCCAAGAAAATCTAGATAGAAGCAACGTCAGAAACTTTTCTGTGATGGATCTACTCAGCTAACAGAGTTGAACCTTTCTTTTGAGAGAGCAGTTTTGCAACACTCTTTTTGTGGAATATGCAAGTGGATATTAGGGCAGCTTTGAGGATTTCGTTGGAAACGGGAATACATGTAAAAAGCAGACAGCAGCATTCTCAGAAACTTCTTTGTGATGTTTGCATTGAAGTCACAGAGTTGAACATTCCCTTTGAGAGAGCAGGTTTGAAACACGCCTTTTGTCATATCTGGAAGTGTCCATTCGGAGCGCATTCAGGCTTGTGTTGAAAAAGGAAATATCCTCCCATAAAAACTAGACAGAAGCATTCTCAGAAACTTATCTGTGATGTATGTACTCAACTAACAGAACTAAACCATCGTTTTGAAGGAGCAGTTTTGAAACACTCTTTTTGCGGAATCTGCAAGTGGATATTTGGCTAGCTGGGAGGATTTCGTTGGAAACGGGATTACATACAAAAAGCAGACAGCAGCATTCTCAGAAACTTATTTGTGATGTGTGCCCTCAACTGACAGTGTTGAACCTTTGTTTTGATAGAGCAGTTCTGAAACACACTTTTTGTAAAATCTGCAAGAGGATATTTGGATAGCTTTGAGGATTTCGTTGGAAACGGGAATGTCTTCATGTAAACTCTAGACAGAAGCATTCTCAGAAACTGCTTTGGGATGTTTCAATTGAAGTCCCAGTGTTGAACATTCCCTTTAATAGAGCAGGTTTGAAACACTCTTTTTGTACTATCTGGAAGTGGACATTTGGAGCGCTTTCAGGTCTACGGTGAAAAAGGAGATATCTTCCAATAAAAACTAGATAGAAAGCAATGTCAGAACTTTTTTCATGATGTATCTACTCAGCTAACAGAGTTGAACCTTTCTTTTGAGAGAGCAGTTTTGAAACACTCTTTTTGTGGAATATGCAAGTGGGTATTAGGCCAGCTTGGAGGATTTCGTTGGAAACGGGAATACGTATAAAAAGCAGACAGCAGCATTGTCAGAAACTACTTTGTGATGTTTGCATTCAAGTCACAGAATTGAACACTCCCTTTCACAGAGCAGGTTTGAAACACTCTTTTTGTAGTGTCTGTAAGTGAACATATGGATTGCTTTCAGGCCTAAGGTGAAAAAGGAAATATCTTCCCATAAAAACTAGACAGAAGCATTCTCAGAAACTTGTTTGTGATGTGTGCCCTCTACTGACAGAGTTGAACCTTTCTTTGCAAAGACCAGTTTTGAAACACTCTTTTTGTAGAATCTGCAAGAGGATATTTGGATAGCTTTGAGGATTTCTTGGGAAACGGGAATGTCTTCAGATAAACTCTAGACAGAAGCATTCTCAGCAAACTTCTTTGGGATGTTTCAATTGAAGTCACAGTGTTGAACATTCCCTTTCACAGAGCAGGTTTGAAACACTCTTTTTGTAGTGTCTATAATTGAACATTTGGCGTGCTTTCAGGCCTAACGTGAAAAAGGAAATATCTTCCCATAAAAACTAGACAGAAGCATTCTCAGAAACTTGGTTTGTGATGTGTGCCCTCTACTGACAGAGTTGAACCTTTCTTTGCAAAGAGCAGCTTTGAAACACTCTTTTTGTAGAATCTGCAAGAGGATATTTGGATAGCTTTGAGGATTTCGTTGGAAACGGGTATGTCTTCAGATAAACTCTAGACAGAAGCATTCTCAGAAACTTCTTTGGGATGTTGCATTCAAGTCACAGAGTAGAACATTCCCATTCATAGAGCAGATTTGAAACACTCTTTTTGTAGTATCTGGAAGTGGACATTTGGAGCGCTTTCAGGCCTATGTTGAAAAAGGAAATATCTTCCCATAAAAACTAGACGGAAGCATTCTCAGAAACTTATTTGTGATGTGTTTGCTCAACTAACAGGATTGAACCATCGTTTTGAAGGAGCAGTTTTGAAACACTGTTTTCGTGGAATCTGCAAGTGGATATTTGGCTAGCTTTGAGGATTTCGTTGGAAACGGGATTACATATAAAAAGGAGACAGCCAGCATTCTCAGAAACTTCTTTGTGATGTCTGCATTCAATTCACAGAGTTGAGCATTCCCTTTCATAGAGCAGGTTGGAAACACTCTTTTTGTAGTATCTGGATGAGGACATTTGGAGCGCTTTCAGGCCTATGGTGAAAAAGGAAATATCTTCCCGTAAAAACTAGACAGAGCATTCTCAGAAGTTTATTTCTGATGTGTGCCCTCAACTAACAGAGTTGAACCTTTCTTTTGATAGAGCAGTTTTGAAACACTCTTTTTGTAAAATCTGCAAGAGGATATTTGGATAGCTTTGAGGATTTCGTTGCAAACGGGAATGGCTTCATATAAACTCTAGACAGAAGCATTCTCAGAAACTTCGTTGGGATGTTTCGATTGAAGTCCCAGTGTTGAACATTCCCTTTTATAGAGCAGGTTGGAAACACTCTTTCTGCATTCCCTGGAAGTGGACATTTGGAGCGCTTTCAGGACGACGGTGAAAATGGAAATATCTTCCAAGAAAATCTAGATAGAAGCAACGTCAGAAACTTTTCTGTGATGGATCTACTCAGCTAACAGAGTTGAACCTTTCTTTTGAGAGAGCAGTTTTGCAACACTCTTTTTGTGGAATATGCAAGTGGATATTAGGGCAGCTTTGAGGATTTCGTTGGAAACGGGAATACATGTAAAAAGCAGACAGCAGCATTCTCAGAAACTTCTTTGTGATGTTTGCATTGAAGTCACAGAGTTGAACATTCCCTTTGAGAGAGCAGGTTTGAAACACGCCTTTTGTCATATCTGGAAGTGTCCATTCGGAGCGCATTCAGGCTTGTGTTGAAAAAGGAAATATCCTCCCATAAAAACTAGACAGAAGCATTCTCAGAAACTTATCTGTGATGTATGTACTCAACTAACAGAACTAAACCATCGTTTTGAAGGAGCAGTTTTGAAACACTCTTTTTGCGGAATCTGCAAGTGGATATTTGGCTAGCTGGGAGGATTTCGTTGGAAACGGGATTACATACAAAAAGCAGACAGCAGCATTCTCAGAAACTTATTTGTGATGTGTGCCCTCAACTGACAGTGTTGAACCTTTGTTTTGATAGAGCAGTTCTGAAACACACTTTTTGTAAAATCTGCAAGAGGATATTTGGATAGCTTTGAGGATTTCGTTGGAAACGGGAATGTCTTCATGTAAACTCTAGACAGAAGCATTCTCAGAAACTGCTTTGGGATGTTTCAATTGAAGTCCCAGTGTTGAACATTCCCTTTCATAGAGCAGGTTTGAAACACTCTTTTTGTACTATCTGGAAGTGGACATTTGGAGCGCTTTCAGGTCTACGGTGAAAAAGGAGATATCTTCCAATAAAAACTAGATAGAAGCAATGTCAGAACTTTTTTCATGATGTATCTACTCAGCAAACAGAGTTGAACCTTTCTTTTGAGAGAGCAGTTTTGACACAGTCTTTGTGGAATATGCAAGTGGGTATTAGGCCAGCTTGGAGGATTTCGTTGGAAACGGGAATACGTATAAAAAGCAGACAGCAGCATTGTCAGAAACTACTTTGTGATGTTTGCATTCAAGTCACAGAATTGAACACTCCCTTTCACAGAGCAGGTTTGAAACACTCTTTTTGTAGTGTCTATAAGTGAACATTTGGCGTGCTTTCAGGCCTAACGTGAAAAAGGAAATATCTTCCCATAAAAACTAGACAGAAGCATTCTCAGAAACTTGTTTGTGATGTGTGCCCTCTACTGACAGAGTTGAACCTTTCTTTGCAAAGAGCAGTTTTGAAACACTCTTTTTGTAGAATCTGCAAGAGGATATTTGGATAGCTTTGAGGATTTCTTGGGAAACGGGAATGTCTTCAGATAAACTCTAGACAGAAGCATTCTCAGAAACTTCTTGGGATATTTCAATTGAAGTCACAGTGTTGAACATTCCCTTTCACAGAGCAGGTTTGAAACACTCTTTTTGTAGTGTCTATAAGTGAACATTTGGCGTGCTTTCAGGCCTAACGTGAAAAAGGAAATATCTTCCCATAAAAACTAGACAGAAGCATTCTCAGAAACTTGTTCGTGATGTGTGCCCTCTACTGACAGAGTTGAACCTTTCTTTGCAAAGAGCAGCTTTGAAACACTCTTTTTGTAGAATCTGCCAGAGGATATTTGGATAGCTTTGAGGATTTCGTTGGAAACGGGTATGTCTTCAGATAAACTCTAGACAGAAGCATTCTCAGAAACTTCTTTGGGATGTTGCATTCAAGTCACAGAGTAGAACATTCCCATTCATAGAGCAGATTTGAAACACTCTTTTTGTAGTATCTGGAAGTGGACATTTGGAGCGCTTTCAGGCCTATGTTGAAAAAGGAAATATCTTCCCATAAAAACTAGACGGAAGCATTCTCAGAAACTTATTTGTGATGTGTTTGCTCAACTAACAGGATTGAACCATCGTTTTGAAGGAGCAGTTTTGAAACACTGTTTTCGTGGAATCTGCAAGTGGATATTTGGCTAGCTTTGAGGATTTCGTTGGAAACGGGATTACATATAAAAAGGAGACAGCAGCATTCTCAGAAACTTCTTTGTGATGTCTGCATTCAATTCACAGAGTTGAGCATTCCCTTTCATAGAGCAGGTTGGAAACACTCTTTTTGTAGTATCTGGATGAGGACATTTGGAGCGCTTTCAGGCGTATGGTGAAAAAGGAAATATCTTCCCGTAAAAACTAGACAGAAGCATTCTCAGAAATTTATTTGTGATGTGTGCCCTCAACTAACAGAGTTGAACCTTTCTTTTGATAGAGCAGTTTTGAAACACTCTTTTTGTAAAATCTGCAAGAGGATATTTGGATAGCTTTGAGGATTTCGTTGCAAACGGGAATGGCTTCATATAAACTCTAGACAGAAGCATTCTCAGAAACTTCGTTGGGATGTTTCGATTGAAGTCCCAGTGTTGAACATTCCCTTTTATAGAGCAGGTTGGAAACACTCTTTCTGCATTCCCTGGAAGTGGACATTTGGAGCGCTTTCAGGACGACGGTGAAAATGGAAATATCTTCCAAGAAAATCTAGATAGAAGCAATGTCAGAAACTTTTATGTGATGGATCTACTCAGCTAACAGAGTTGAACCTTTCTTTTGAGAGAGCAGTTTTGCAACACTCTTTTTGTGGAATATGCAAGTGGATATTAGGGCAGCTTTGAGGATTTCGTTGGAAACGGGAATACATGTAAAAAGCAGACAGCAGCATTCTCAGAAACTTCTTTGTGATGTTTGCATTGAAGTCACAGAGTTGAACATTCCCTTTGAGAGAGCAGGTTTGAAACACGCCTTTTGTCATATCTGGAAGTGTCCATTCGGAGCGCATTCAGGCTTGTGTTGAAAAAGGAAATATCCTCCCATAAAAACTAGACAGAAGCATTCTCAGAAACTTATCTGTGATGTATGTACTCAACTAACAGAACTAAACCATCGTTTTGAAGGAGCAGTTTTGAAACACTCTTTTTGCGGAATCTGCAAGTGGATATTTGGCTAGCTGGGAGGATTTCGTTGGAAACGGGATTACATACAAAAAGCAGACAGCAGCATTCTCAGAAACTTATTTGTGATGTGTGCCCTCAACTGACAAGTGTTGAACCTTTGTTTTGATAGAGCAGTTCTGAAACACACTTTTTGTAAAATCTGCAAGAGGATATTTGGATAGCTTTGAGGATTTCGTTGGAAACGGGAATGTCTTCATGTAAACTCTAGACAGAAGCATTCTCAGAAACTGCTTTGGGATGTTTCAATTGAAGTCCCAGTGTTGAACATTCCCTTTCATAGAGCAGGTTTGAAACCCTCTTTTTGTACTATCTGGAAGTGGACATTTGGAGCGCTTTCAGGTCTACGGTGAAAAAGGAGATATCTTCCAATAAAAACTAGATAGAAGCAATGTCAGAACTTTTTTCATGATGTATCTACTCAGCAAACAGAGTTGAACCTTTCTTTTGAGAGAGCAGTTTTGAAACACTCCTTTTGTGGAATATGCAAGTGGGTATTAGGCCAGCTTGGAGGATTTCGTTGGAAACGGGAATACGTATAAAAAGCAGACAGCAGCATTGTCAGAAACTACTTTGTGATGTTTGCATTCAAGTCACAGAATTGAACACTCCCTTTCACAGAGCAGGTTTGAAACACTCTTTTTGTAGTGTCTGTAAGTGAACATATGGATTGCTTTCAGGCCTAAGGTGAAAAAGGAAATATCTTCCCATAAAAACTAGACAGAAGCATTCTCAGAAACTTGTTTGTGATGTGTGCCCTCTACTGACAGAGTTGAACCTTTCTTTGCAAAGACCAGTTTTGAAACACTCTTTTTGTAGAATCTGCAAGAGGATATTTGGATAGCTTTGAGGATTTCTTGGGAAACGGGAATGTCTTCAGATAAACTCTAGACAGAAGCATTCTCAGAAACTTCTTTGGGATGTTTCAATTGAAGTCACAGTGTTGAACATTCCCTTTCACAGAGCAGGTTTGAAACACTCTTTTTGTAGTGTCTATAATTGAACATTTGGCGTGCTTTCAGGCCTAACGTGAAAAAGGAAATATCTTCCCATAAAAACTAGACAGAAGCATTCTCAGAAACTTGTTCGTGATGTGTGCCCTCTACTGACAGAGTTGAACCTTTCTTTGCAAAGAGCAGCTTTGAAACACACTTTTTGTAGAATCTGCAAGAGGATATTTGGATAGCTTGGAGGATTTCGTTGGAAACGGGTATGTCTTCAGATAAACTCTAGACAGAAGCATTCTCAGAAACTTCTTTGGGATGTTGCATTCAAGTCACAGAGTAGAACATTCCCATTCATAGAGCAGATTTGAAACACTCTTTTTGTAGTATCTGGAAATGGACATTTGGAGCGCTTTCAGGCCTATGTTGAAAAAGGAAATATCTTCCCATAAAAACTAGACGGAAGCATTCTCAGAAACTTATTTGTGATGTGTTTGCTCAACTAACAGGATTGAACCATCGTTTTGAAGGAGCAGTTTTGAAACACTGTTTTCGTGGAATCTGCAAGTGGATATTTGGCTAGCTTTGAGGATTTCGTTGGAAACGGGATTACATATAAAAAGGAGACAGCAGCATTCTCAGAAACTTCTTTGTGATGTTTGCATTCAAGTCACAGAGTTGAACATTCCCTTTCATAGAGCAGGTTTGAAACACTCTTTTTGTAGTATCTGGATGTGGACATTTGGATCGCTTTCAGGCCTATGGTGAAAAAGGAAATATCTTCCCATGAAAACTAGACAGAAGCATTCTCAGAAACTTATTTGTGATGTGTGCCCTCAACTGACAGTGTTGAACCTTTGTTTTGATAGAGCAGTTCTGAAACACACTTTTTGTAAAATCTGCAAGAGGATATTTGGATAGCTTTGAGGATTTCGTTGGAAACGGGAATGTCTTCATGTAAACTCTAGACAGAAGCATTCTCAGAAACTGCTTTGGGATGTTTCAATTGAAGTCCCAGTGTTGAACATTCCCATTCATAGAGCAGGTTTGAAGCACTCTTTTTGTACTATCTGGAAGTGGACATTTGGAGCGCTTTCAGGTCTACGGTGAAAAAGGAGATATCTTCCAATAAAAACTAGATAGAAGCAATGTCAGAACTTTTTTCATGATGTATCTACTCAGCAAACAGAGTTGAACCTTTCTTTTGAGAGAGCAGTTTTGAAACACTCTTTTTGTGGAATATGCAAGTGGGTATTAGGCCAGCTTGGAGGATTTCGTTGGAAACGGGAATACGTATAAAAAGCAGACAGCAGCATTGTCAGAAACTACTTTGTGATGTTTGCATTCAAGTCACAGAATTGAACACTCCCTTTCACAGAGCAGGTTTGAAACACTCTTTTTGTAGTGTCTGTAAGTGAACATTTGGATTGCTTTCAGGCCTAAGGTGAAAAAGGAAATGTCTTCCCATAAAAACTAGACAGAAGCATTCTCAGAAACTTGTTTGTGATGTGTGCCCTCTACTGACAGAGTTGAACCTTTCTTTGCAAAGAGCAGTTTTGAAACACTCTTTTTGTAGAATCTGCAAGAGGATATTTGGATAGCTTTGAGGATTTCTTGGGAAACGGGAATGTCTTCAGATAAACTCTAGACAGAAGCATTCTCAGAAACTTCTTTGGGATGTTTCAATTGAAGTCACAGTGTTGAACATTCCCTTTCACAGAGCAGGTTTGAAACACTCTTTTTGTAGTGTCTATAAGTGAACATTTGGCGTGCTTTCAGGCCTAACGTGAAAAAGGAAATATCTTCCCATAAAAACTAGACAGAAGCATTCTCAGACACTTGTTCGTGATGTGTGCCCTCTACTGACAGAGTTGAACCTTTCTTTGCAAAGAGCAGCTTTGAAACACTCTTTTTGTAGAATCTGCAAGAGGATATTTGGATAGCTTTGAGGATTTCGTTGGAAACGGGTATGTCTTCAGATAAACTCTAGACAGAAGCATTCTCAGAAACTTCTTTGGGATGTTGCATTCAAGTCACAGAGTAGAACATTCCCATTCATAGAGCAGATTTGAAACACTCTTTTTGTAGTATCTGGAAGTGGACATTTGGAGCGCTTTCAGGCCTATGTTGAAAAAGGATATATCTTCCCATAAAAACTAGACGGAAGCATTCTCAGAAACTTACTTGTGATGTGTTTGCTCAACTAACAGAATTGAACCATCGTTTTAAAGGAGCAGTTTTGAAACACTGTTTTCGTGGAATCTGCAAGTGGATATTTGGCTAGCTTTGAGGATTTCGTTGGAAACGGGATTACATATAAAAAGGAGACAGCAGCATTCTCAGAAACTTCTTTGTGATGTCTGCATTCAAGTCACAGAGTTGAGCATTCCCTTTCATAGAGCAGGTTGGAAACACTCTTTTTGTAGTATCTGGATGAGGACATTTGGAGCGCTTTCAGGCGTATGGTGAAAAAGGAAATATCTTCCCGTAAAAACTAGACAGAAGCATTCTCAGAAATTTATTTGTGATGTGTGCCCTCAACTAACAGAGTTGAACCTTTCTTTTGATAGAGCAGTTTTGAAACACTCTTTTTGTAAAATCTGCAAGAGGATATTTGGATAGCTTTGAGGATTTCGTTGCAAACGGGAATGGCTTCATATAAACTCTAGACAGAAGCATTCTCAGAAACTTCGTTGGGATGTTTCGATTGAAGTCCCAGTGTTGAACATTCCCTTTTATAGAGCAGGTTGGAAACACTCTTTCTGCATTCCCTGGAAGTGGACATTTGGAGCGCTTTCAGGACGACGGTGAAAATGGAAATATCTTCCAAGAAAATCTAGATAGAAGCAATGTCAGAAACTTTTATGTGATGGATCTACTCAGCTAACAGAGTTGAACCTTTCTTTTGAGAGAGCAGTTTTGCAACACTCTTTTTGTGGAATATGCAAGTGGATATTAGGGCAGCTTTGAGGATTTCGTTGGAAACGGGAATACATGTAAAAAGCAGACAGCAGCATTCTCAGAAACTTCTTTGTGATGTTTGCATTGAAGTCACAGAGTTGAACATTCCCTTTGAGAGAGCAGGTTTGAAACACGCCTTTTGTCATATCTGGAAGTGTCCATTCGGAGCGCATTCAGGCTTGTGTTGAAAAAGGAAATATCCTCCCATAAAAACTAGACAGAAGCATTCTCAGAAACTTATCTGTGATGTATGTACTCAACTAACAGAACTAAACCATCGTTTTGAAGGAGCAGTTTTGAAACACTCTTTTTGCGGAATCTGCAAGTGGATATTTGGCTAGCTGGGAGGATTTCGTTGGAAACGGGATTACATACAAAAAGCAGACAGCAGCATTCTCAGAAACTTATTTGTGATGTGTGCCCTCAACTGACAGTGTTGAACCTTTGTTTTGATAGAGCAGTTCTGAAACACACTTTTTGTAAAATCTGCAAGAGGATATTTGGATAGCTTTGAGGATTTCGTTGGAAACGGGAATGTCTTCATGTAAACTCTAGACAGAAGCATTCTCAGAAACTGCTTTGGGATGTTTCAATTGAAGTCCCAGTGTTGAACATTCCCTTTCATAGAGCAGGTTTGAAACACTCTTTTTGTACTATCTGGAAGTGGACATTTGGAGCGCTTTCAGGTCTACGGTGAAAAAGGAGATATCTTCCAATAAAAACTAGATAGAAGCAATGTCAGAACTTTTTTCATGATGTATCTACTCAGCAAACAGAGTTGAACCTTTCTTTTGAGAGAGCAGTTTTGAAACACTCTTTTTGTGGAATATGCAAGTGGGTATTAGGCCAGCTTGGAGGATTTCGTTGGAAACGGGAATACGTATAAAAAGCAGACAGCAGCATTGTCAGAAACTACTTTGTGATGTTTGCATTCAAGTCACAGAACTGAACACTCCCTTTCACAGAGCAGGTTTGAAACACTCTTTTTGTAGTGTCTGTAAGTGAACATTTGGATTGCTTTCAGGCCTAAGGTGAAAAAGGAAATATCTTCCCATAAAAACTAGACAGAAGCATTCTCAGAAACTTGTTTGTGATGTGTGCCCTCTACTGACAGAGTTGAACCTTTCTTTGCAAAGAGCAGTTTTGAAACACTCTTTTTGTAGAATCTGCAAGAGGATATTTGGATAGCTTTGAGGATTTCTTGGGAAACGGGAATGTCTTCAGATAAACTCTAGACAGAAGCATTCTCAGAAACTTCTTTGGGATGTTTCAATTGAAGTCACAGTGTTGAACATTCCCTTTCACAGAGCAGGTTTGAAACACTCTTTTTGTAGTGTCTATAAGTGAACATTTGGCGTGCTTTCAGGCGTAACGTGAAAAAGGAAATATCTTCCCATAAAAACCAGACAGAAGCATTCTCAGAAACTTGTTCGTGATGTGTGCCCTCTACTGACAGAGTTGAACCTTTCTTTGCAAAGAGCAGCTTTGAAACACTCTTTTTGTAGAATCTGCAAGAGGATATTTGGATAGCTTTGAGGATTTCGTTGGAAACGGGTATGTCTTCAGATAAACTCTAGACAGAAGCATTCTCAGAAACTTCTTTGGGATGTTGCATTCAAGTCACAGAGTAGAACATTCCCATTCATAGAGCAGATTTGAAACACTCTTTTTGTAGTATCTGGAAGTGGACATTTGGAGCGCTTTCAGGCCTATGTTGAAAAAGGAAATATCTTCCCATAAAAACTAGACGGAAGCATTCTCAGAAACTTATTTGTGATGTGTTTGCTCAACTAACAGGATTGAACCATCGTTTTGAAGGAGCAGTTTTGAAACACTGTTTTCGTGGAATCTGCAAGTGGATATTTGGCTAGCTTTGAGGATTTCGTTGGAAACGGGATTACATATACAAAGGAGACAGCAGCATTCTCAGAAACTTCTTTGTGATGTCTGCATTCAATTCACAGAGTTGAGCATTCCCTTTCATAGAGCAGGTTGGAAACACTCTTTTTGTAGTATCTGGATGAGGACATTTGGAGCGCTTTCAGGCGTATGGTGAAAAAGGAAATATCTTCCCGTAAAAACTAGACAGAAGCATTCTCAGAAGTTTATTTGTGATGTGTGCCCTCAACTAACAGAGTTGAACCTTTCTTTTGATAGAGCAGTTTTGAAACACTCTTTTTGTAATATCTGCAAGAGGATATTTGGATAGCTTTGAGGATTTCGTTGCAAACGGGAATCGCTTCATATAAACTCTAGACAGAAGCATTCTCAGAAACTTCGTTGGGATGTTTCGATTGAAGTCCCAGTGTTGAACATTCCCTTTTATAGAGCAGGTTGGAAACACTCTTTCTGCATTCCCTGGAAGTGGACATTTGGAGCGCTTTCAGGACGACGGTGAAAATGGAAATATCTTCCAAGAAAATCTAGATAGAAGCAATGTCAGAAACTTTTATGTGATGGATCTACTCAGCTAACAGAGTTGAACCTTTCTTTTGAGAGAGCAGTTTTGCAACACTCTTTTTGTGGAATATGCAAGTGGATATTAGGGCAGCTTTGAGGATTTCGTTGGAAACGGGAATACATGTAAAAAGCAGACAGCAGCATTCTCAGAAACTTCTTTGTGATGTTTGCATTGAAGTCACAGAGTTGAACATTCCCTTTGAGAGAGCAGGTTTGAAACACGCCTTTTGTCATATCTGGAAGTGTCCATTCGGAGCGCATTCAGGCTTGTGTTGAAAAAGGAAATATCCTCCCATAAAAACTAGACAGAAGCATTCTCAGAAACTTATCTGTGATGTATGTACTCAACTAACAGAACTAAACCATCGTTTTGAAGGAGCAGTTTTGAAACACTCTTTTTGCGGAATCTGCAAGTGGATATTTGGCTAGCTGGGAGGATTTCGTTGGAAACGGGATTACATACAAAAAGCAGACAGCAGCATTCTCAGAAACTTATTTGTGATGTGTGCCCTCAACTGACAGTGTTGAACCTTTGTTTTGATAGAGCAGTTCTGAAACACACTTTTTGTAAAATCTGCAAGAGGATATTTGGATAGCTTTGAGGATTTCGTTGGAAACGGGAATGTCTTCATGTAAACTCTACACAGAAGCATTCTCAGAAACTGCTTTGGGATGTTTCAATTGAAGTCCCAGTGTTGAACATTCCCTTTCATAGAGCAGGTTTGAAACACTCTTTTTGTACTATCTGGAAGTGGACATTTGGAGCGCTTTCAGGTCTACGGTGAAAAAGGAGATATCTTCCAATAAAAACTAGATAGAAGCAATGTCAGAACTTTTTTCATGATGTATCTACACAGCAAACAGAGTTGAACCTTTCTTTTGAGAGAGCAGTTTTGAAACACTCTTTTTGTGGAATATGCAAGTGGGTATTAGGCCAGCTTGGAGGATTTCGTTGGAAACGGGAATACGTATAAAAAGCAGACAGCAGCATTGTCAGAAACTTCTTTGTGATGTTTGCATTCAAGTCACAGAGTTGAACACTCCCTTTCACAGAGCAGGTTTGAAACACTCTTTTTGTAGTGTCTGTAAGTGAACATATGGATTGCTTTCAGGCCTAAGGTGAAAAAGGAAATATCTTCCCATAAAAACTAGACAGAAAGCATTCTCAGAAACTTGTTTGTGATGTGTGCCCTCTACTGACAGAGTTGAACCTTTCTTTGCAAAGAGCAGTTTTGAAACACTCTTTTTGTAGAATCTGCAAGAGGATATTTGGATAGCTTTGAGGATTTCTTGGGAAACGGGAATGTCTTCAGATAAACTCTAGACAGAAGCATTCTCAGAAACTTCTTTGGGATGTTTCAATTGAAGTCACAGTGTTGAACATTCCCTTTCACAGAGCAGGTTTGAAACACTCTTTTTGTAGTGTCTATAAGTGAACATTTGGCGTGCTTTCAGGCCTAACGTGAAAAAGGAAATATCTTCCCATAAAAACTAGACAGAAGCATTCTCAGAAACTTGTTCGTGATGTGTGCCCTCTACTGACAGAGTTGAACCTTTCTTTGCAAAGAGCAGCTTTGAAACACACTTTTTGTAGAATCTGCAAGAGGATATTTGGATAGCTTTGAGGATTTCGTTGGAAACGGGTATGTCTTCAGATATACTCTAGACAGAAGCATTCTCAGAAACTTCTTTGGGATGTTGCATTCAAGTCACAGAGTAGAACATTCCCATTCATAGAGCAGATTTGAAACACTCTTTTTGTAGTATCTGGAAGTGGACATTTGGAGCGCTTTCAGGCCTATGTTGAAAAAGGAAATATCTTCCCATAAAAACTAGACGGAAGCATTCTCAGAAACTTATTTGTGATGTGTTTGCTCAACTAACAGGATTGAACCATCGTTTTGAAGGAGCAGTTTTGAAACACTGTTTTCGTGGAATCTGCAAGTGGATATTTGGCTAGCTTTGAGGATTTCGTTGGAAATGGGATTACATATACAAAGGAGACAGCAGCATTCTCAGAAACTTCTTTGTGATGTCTGCATTCAAGTCACAGAGTTGAGCATTCCCTTTCATAGAGCAGGTTGGAAACACTCTTTTTGTAGTATCTGGATGAGGACATTTGGAGCGCTTTCTGGCCTATGGTGAAAAAGGAAATATCTTCCTGTAAAAACTAGACAGAAGATTCTCAGAAATTTATTTGTGATGTGTGCCCTCAACTAACAGAGTTGAACCTTTCTTTTGATAGAGCAGTTTTGAAACACTCTTTTTGTAAAATCTGCAAGAGGATATTTGGATAGCTTTGAGGATTTCGTTGCAAACGGGAATGGCTTCATATAAACTCTAGACAGAAGCATTCTCAGAAACTTCGTTGGGATGTTTCGATTGAAGTCCCAGTGTTGAACATTCCCTTTTATAGAGCAGGTTGGAAACACTCTTTCTGCATTCCCTGGAAGTGGACATTTGGAGCGCTTTCAGGACGACGGTGAAAATGGAAATATCTTCCAAGAAAATCTAGATAGAAGCAATGTCAGAAACTTTTATGTGATGGATCTACTCAGCTAACAGAGTTGAACCTTTCTTTTGAGAGAGCAGTTTTGCAACACTCTTTTTGTGGAATATGCAAGTGGATATTAGGGCAGCTTTGAGGATTTCGTTGGAAACGGGAATACATGTAAAAAGCAGACAGCAGCATTCTCAGAAACTTCTTTGTGATGTTTGCATTGAAGTCACAGAGTTGAACATTCCCTTTGAGAGAGCAGGTTTGAAACACGCCTTTTGTCATATCTGGAAGTGTCCATTCGGAGCGCATTCAGGCTTGTGTTGAAAAAGGAAATATCCTCCCATAAAAACTAGACAGAAGCATTCTCAGAAACTTATTTGTGATGTATGTACTCAACTAACAGAACTAAACCATCGTTTTGAAGGAGCAGTTTTGAAACACTCTTTTTGCGGAATCTGCAAGTGGATATTTGGCTAGCTGGGAGGATTTCGTTGGAAACGGGATTACATACAAAAAGCAGACAGCAGCATTCTCAGAAACTTATTTGTGATGTGTGCCCTCAACTGACAGTGTTGAACCTTTGTTTTGATAGAGCAGTTCTGAAACACACTTTTTGTAAAATCTGCAAGAGGATATTTGGATAGCTTTGAGGATTTCGTTGGAAACGGGAATGTCTTCATGTAAACTCTACACAGAAGCATTCTCAGAAACTGCTTTGGGATGTTTCAATTGAAGTCCCAGTGTTGAACATTCCCATTCATAGAGCAGGTTTGAAACACTCTTTTTGTACTATCTGGAAGTGGACATTTGGAGCGCTTTCAGGTCTACGGTGAAAAAGGAGATATCTTCCAATAAAAACTAGATAGAAGCAATGTCAGAACTTTTTTCATGATGTATCTACTCAGCTAACAGAGTTGAACCTTTCTTTTGAGAGAGCAGTTTTGAAACACTCTTTGTGTGGAATATGCAAGTGGGTATTAGGCCAGCTTGGAGGATTTCGTTGGAAACGGGAATACGTATAAAAAGCAGACAGCAGCATTGTCAGAAACTACTTTGTGATGTTTGCATTCAAGTCACAGAATTGAACACTCCCTTTCACAGAGCAGGTTTGAAACACTCTTTTTGTAGTGTCTGTAAGTGAACATATGGATTGCTTTCAGGCCTAAGGTGAAAAAGGAAATATCTTCCCATAAAAACTAGACAGAAGCATTCTCAGAAACTTGTTTGTGATGTGTGCCCTCTACTGACAGAGTTGAACCTTTCTTTGCAAAGAGCAGTTTTGAAACACTCTTTTTGTAGAATCTGCAAGAGGATATTTGGATAGCTTTGAGGATTTCTTGGGAAACGGGAATGTCTTCAGATAAACTCTAGACAGAAGCATTCTCAGAAACTTCTTTGGGATGTTTCAATTGAAGTCACAGTGTTGAACATTCCCTTTCACAGAGCAGGTTTGAAACACTCTTTTTGTAGTGTCTATAAGTGAACATTTGGCGTGCTTTCAGGCCTAACGTGAAAAAGGAAATATCTTCCCATAAAAACTAGACAGAAAGCATTCTCAGAAACTTGTTCTTGATGTGTCCCCTCTACTGACAGAGTTGAACCTTTCTTTGCAAAGAGCAGCTTTGAAACACTCTTTTTGTAGAATCTGCAAGAGGATATTTGGATAGCTTGGAGGATTTCGTTGGAAACGGGTATGTCTTCAGATAAACTCTAGACAGAAGCATTCTCAGAAACTTCTTTGGGATGTTGCATTCAAGTCACAGAGTAGAACATTCCCATTCATAGAGCAGATTTGAAACACTCTTTTTGTAGTATCTGGAAGTGGACATTTGGAGCGCTTTCAGGCCTATGTTGAAAAAGGAAATATCTTCCCATAAAAACTAGACGGAAGCATTCTCAGAAACTTACTTGTGATGTGTTTGCTCAACTAACAGAATTGAACCATCGTTTTGAAGGAGCAGTTTTGAAACACTGTTTTCGTGGAATCTGCAAGTGGATATTTGGCTAGCTTTGAGGATTTCGTTGGAAACGGGATTACATATAAAAAGGAGACAGCAGCATTATCAGAAACTTCTTTGTGATGATTGCATTCAAGTCACAGAGTTGAACATTCGCTTTCATACAGCAGGTTTGAAACACTCTTTTTGTAGTATCTGGAAGTGGACATTTGGAGCGCTTTGTGGCCTATGGTGAAAAAGGAAATATCTTCCCATAAAAACTAGATAGAAGCATTCTCAGAAATTTATTTGTGATGTGTGCCCTCAACTAACAGAGTTGAACCTTTCTTTTGATAGAGCAGTTTTGAAACACTCTTTTTGTAAAATCTGCAAGAGGATATTTGGATAGCTTTGAGGATTTCATTGCAAACGGGAATGGCTTCATATAAACTCTAGACAGAAGCATTCTCAGAAACTTCGTTGGGATGTTTCGATTGAAGTCCCAGTGTTGAACATTCCCTTTTATAGAGCAGGTTGGAAACACTCTTTCTGCATTCCCTGGAAGTGGACATTTGGAGCGCTTTCAGGACGACGGTGAAAATGGAAATATCTTCCAAGAAAATCTAGATAGAAGCAATGTCAGAAACTTTTATGTGATGGATCTACTCAGCTAACAGAGTTGAAGCTTTCTTTTGAGAGAGCAGTTTTGCAACACTCTTTTTGTGGAATATGCAAGTGGATATTAGGGCAGCTTTGAGGATTTCGTTGGAAACGGGAATACATGTAAAAAGCAGACAGCAGCATTCTCAGAAACTTCTTTGTGATGTTTGCATTGAAGTCACAGAGTTGAACATTCCCTTTGAGAGAGCAGGTTTGAAACACGCCTTTTGTCATATCTGGAAGTGTCCATTCGGAGCGCATTCAGGCTTGTGTTGAAAAAGGAAATATCCTCCCATAAAAACTAGACAGAAGCATTCTCAGAAACTTATCTGTGATGTATGTACTCAACTAACAGAACTAAACCATCGTTTTGAAGGAGCAGTTTTGAAACACTCTTTTTGCGGAATCTGCAAGTGGATATTTGGCTAGCTGGGAGGATTTCGTTGGAAACGGGATTACATACAAAAAGCAGACAGCAGCATTCTCAGAAACTTATTTGTGATGTGTGCCCTCAACTGACAGTGTTGAACATTTGTTTTGATAGAGCAGTTCTGAAACACACTTTTTGTAAAATCTGCAAGAGGATATTTGGATAGCTTTGAGGATTTCGTTGGAAACGGGAATGTCTTCATGTAAACTCTACACAGAAGCATTCTCAGAAACTGCTTTGGGATGTTTCAATTGAAGTCCCAGTGTTGAACATTCCCTTTCATAGAGCAGGTTTGAAACACTCTTTTTGTACTATCTGGAAGTGGACATTTGGAGCGCTTTCAGGTCTACGGTGAAAAAGGAGATATCTTCCAATAAAAACTAGATAGAAGCAATGTCAGAACTTTTTTCATGATGTATCTACTCAGCAAACAGAGTTGAACCTTTCTTTTGAGAGAGCAGTTTTGAAACACTCTTTTTGTGGAATATGCAAGTGGGTATTAGGCCAGCTTGGAGGATTTCGTTGGAAACGGGAATACGTATAAAAAGCAGACAGCAGCATTGTCAGAAACTACTTTGTGATGTTTGCATTCAAGTCACAGAACTGAACACTCCCTTTCACAGAGCAGGTTTGAAACACTCTTTTTGTAGTGTCTGTAAGTGAACATTTGGATTGCTTTCAGGCCTAAGGTGAAAAAGGAAATATCTTCCCATAAAAACTAGACAGAAGCATTCTCAGAAACTTGTTTGTGATGTGTGCCCTCTACTGACAGAGTTGAACCTTTCTTTGCAAAGACCAGTTTTGAAACACTCTTTTTGTAGAATCTGCAAGAGGATATTTGGATAGCTTTGAGGATTTCTTGGGAAACGGGAATGTCTTCAGATAAACTCTAGACAGAAGCATTCTCAGAAACTTCTTTGGGATGTTTCAATTGAAGTCACAGTGTTGAACATTCCCTTTCACAGAGCAGGTTTGAAACACTCTTTTTGTAGTGTCTATAAGTGAACATTTGGCGTGCTTTCAGGCGTAACGTGAAAAAGGAAATATCTTCCCATAAAAACTAGACAGAAGCATTCTCAGAAACTTGTTCTTGATGTGTCCCCTCTACTGACAGAGTTGAACCTTTCTTTGCAAAGAGCAGCTTTGAAACACTCTTTTTGTAGAATCTGCAAGAGGATATTTGGATAGCTTGGAGGATTTCGTTGGAAACGGGTATGTCTTCAGATAAACTCTAGACAGAAGCATTCTCAGAAACTTCTTTGGGATGTTGCATTCAAGTCACAGAGTAGAACATTCCCATTCATAGAGCAGATTTGAAACACTCTTTTTGTAGTATCTGGAAGTGGACATTTGGAGCGCTTTCAGGCCTATGTTGAAAAAGGAAATATCTTCCCATAAAAACTAGACGGAAGCATTCTCAGAAACTTATTTGTGATGTGTTTGCTCAACTAACAGGATTGAACCATCGTTTTGAAGGAGCAGTTTTGAAACACTGTTTTCGTGGAATCTGCAAGTGGATATTTGGCTAGCTTTGAGGATTTCGTTGGAAACGGGATTACATATAAAAAGGAGACAGCAGCATTCTCAGAAACTTCTTTGTGATGTCTGCATTCAAGTCACAGAGTTGAGCATTCCCTTTCATAGAGCAGGTTGGAAACACTCTTTTTGTAGTATCTGGATGAGGACATTTGGAGCGCTTTCAGGCGTATGGTGAAAAAGGAAATATCTTCCCGTAAAAACTAGACAGAAGCATTCTCAGAAGTTTATTTGTGATGTGTGCCCTCAACTAACAGAGTTGAACCTTTCTTTTGATAGAGCAGTTTTGAAACACTCTTTTTGTAAAATCTGCAAGAGGATATTTGGATAGCTTTGAGGATTTCGTTGCAAACGGGAATGGCTTCATATAAACTCTAGACAGAAAGCATTCTCAGAAACTTCGTTGGGATGTTTCGATTGAAGTCCCAGTGTTGAACATTCCCTTTTATAGAGCAGGTTGGAAACACTCTTTCTGCATTCCCTGGAAGTGGACATTTGGAGCGCTTTCAGGACGACGGTGAAAATGGAAATATCTTCCAAGAAAATCTAGATAGAAGCAATGTCAGAAACTTTTATGTGATGGATCTACTCAGCTAACAGAGTTGAACCTTTCTTTTGAGAGAGCAGTTTTGCAACACTCCTTTTGTGGAATATGCAAGTGGATATTAGGGCAGCTTTGAGGATTTCGTTGGAAACGGGAATACATGTAAAAAGCAGACAGCAGCATTCTCAGAAACTTCTTTGTGATGTTTGCATTGAAGTCACAGAGTTGAACATTCCCTTTGAGAGAGCAGGTTTGAAACACGCCTTTTGTCATATCTGGAAGTGTCCATTCGGAGCGCATTCAGGCTTGTGTTGAAAAAGGAAATATCCTCCCATAAAAACTAGACAGAAGCATTCTCAGAAACTTATCTGTGATGTATGTACTCAACTAACAGAACTAAACCATCGTTTTGAAGGAGCAGTTTTGAAACACTCTTTTTGCGGAATCTGCAAGTGGATATTTGGCTAGCTGGGAGGATTTCGTTGGAAACGGGATTACATACAAAAAGCAGACAGCAGCATTCTCAGAAACTTATTTGTGATGTGTGCCCTCAACTGACAGTGTTGAACCTTTGTTTTGATAGAGCAGTTCTGAAACACACTTTTTGTAAAATCTGCAAGAGGATATTTGGATAGCTTTGAGGATTTCGTTGGAAACGGGAATGTCTTCATGTAAACTCTAGACAGAAGCATTCTCAGAAACTGCTTTGGGATGTTTCAATTGAAGTCCCAGTGTTGAACATTCCCTTTCATAGAGCAGGTTTGAAACACTCTTTTTGTACTATCTGGAAGTGGACATTTGGAGCGCTTTCAGGTCTACGGTGAAAAAGGAGATATCTTCCAATAAAAACTAGATAGAAGCAATGTCAGAACTTTTTTCATGATGTATCTACTCAGCAAACAGAGTTGAACCTTTCTTTTGAGGGAGCAGTTTTGAAACACTATTTTTGTGGAATATGCAAGTGGGTATTAGGCCAGCTTGGAGGATTTCGTTGGAAACGGGAATACGTATAAAAAGCAGACAGCAGCATTGTCAGAAACTACTTTGTGATGTTTGCATTCAAGTCACAGAATTGAACACTCCCTTTCACAGAGCAGGTTTGAAACACTCTTTTTGTAGTGTCTGTAAGTGAACATTTGGATTGCTTTCAGGCCTAAGGTGAAAAAGGAAATATCTTCCCATAAAAACTAGACAGAAGCATTCTCAGAAACTTGTTTGTG
This sequence comes from Homo sapiens, assembly GCF_000001405.40. NCBI lineage: Eukaryota > Metazoa > Chordata > Mammalia > Primates > Hominidae > Homo > Homo sapiens. The sequence continues at coordinate 28,382,946 of NC_000020.11, forward strand.
ATGTGTGCCCTCTACTGACAGAGTTGAACCTTTCTTTGCAAAGAGCAGTTTTGAAACACTCTTTTTGTAGAATCTGCAAGAGGATATTTGGATAGCTTTGAGGATTTCTTGGGAAACGGGAATGTCTTCAGATAAACTCTAGACAGAAGCATTCTCAGAAACTTCTTTGGGATGTTTCAATTGAAGTCACAGTGTTGAACATTCCCTTTCACAGAGCAGGTTTGAAACACTCTTTTTGTAGTGTCTATAAGTGAACATTTGGCGTGCTTTCAGGCGTAACGTGAAAAAGGAAATATCTTCCCATAAAAACCAGACAGAAGCATTCTCAGAAACTTGTTCTTGATGTGTCCCCTCTACTGACAGAGTTGAACCTTTCTTTGCAAAGAGCAGCTTTGAAACACACTTTTTGTAGAATCTGCAAGAGGATATTTGGATAGCTTGGAGGATTTCGTTGGAAACGGGTATGTCTTCAGATAAACTCTAGACAGAAGCATTCTCAGAAACTTCTTTGGGATGTTGCATTCAAGTCACAGAGTAGAACATTCCCATTCATAGAGCAGATTTGAAACACTCTTTTTGTAGTATCTGGAAGTGGACATTTGGAGCGCTTTCAGGCCTATGTTGAAAAAGGAAATATCTTCCCATAAAAACTAGACGGAAGCATTCTCAGAAACTTATTTGTGATGTGTTTGCTCAACTAACAGGATTGAACCATCGTTTTGAAGGAGCAGTTTTGAAACACTGTTTTCGTGGAATCTGCAAGTGGATATTTGGCTAGCTTTGAGGATTTCGTTGGAAACGGGATTACATATAAAAAGGAGACAGCAGCATTCTCAGAAACTTCTTTGTGATGTCTGCATTCAATTCACAGAGTTGAGCATTCCCTTTCATAGATCAGGTTGGAAACACTCTTTTTGTAGTATCTGGATGTGGACATTTGGATCGCTTTCTGGCCTATGGTGAAAAAGGAAATATCTTCCCATGAAAACTAGACAGAAGCATTCTCAGAAGTTTATTTGTGATGTGTGCCCTCAACTAACAGAGTTGAACCTTTCTTTTGATAGAGCAGTTTTGAAACACTCTTTTTGTAAAATATGCAAGAGGATATTTGGATAGCTTTAAGGATTTCGTTGCAAACGGGAATGGCTTCATATAAACTCTAGACAGAAGCATTCTCAGAAACTTCGTTGGGATGTTTCGATTGAAGTCCCAGTGTTGAACATTCCCTTTTATAGAGCAGGTTGGAAACACTCTTTCTGCATTCCCTGGAAGTGGACATTTGGAGCGCTTTCAGGACGACGGTGAAAATGGAAATATCTTCCAAGAAAATCTAGATAGAAGCAATGTCAGAAACTTTTATGTGATGGATCTACTCAGCTAACAGAGTTGAACCTTTCTTTTGAGAGAGCAGTTTTGCAACACTCTTTTTGTGGAATATGCAAGTGGATATTAGGGCAGCTTTGAGGATTTCGTTGGAAACGGGAATACATGTAAAAAGCAGACAGCAGCATTCTCAGAAACTTCTTTGTGATGTTTGCATTGAAGTCACAGAGTTGAACATTCCCTTTGAGAGAGCAGGTTTGAAACACGCCTTTTGTCATATCTGGAAGTGTCCATTCGGAGCGCATTCAGGCTTGTGTTGAAAAAGGAAATATCCTCCCATAAAAACTAGACAGAAGCATTCTCAGAAACTTATCTGTGATGTATGTACTCAACTAACAGAACTAAACCATCGTTTTGAAGGAGCAGTTTTGAAACACTCTTTTTGCGGAATCTGCAAGTGGATATTTGGCTAGCTGGGAGGATTTCGTTGGAAACGGGATTACATACAAAAAGCAGACAGCAGCATTCTCAGAAACTTATTTGTGATGTGTGCCCTCAACTGACAGTGTTGAACCTTTGTTTTGATAGAGCAGTTCTGAAACACACTTTTTGTAAAATCTGCAAGAGGATATTTGGATAGCTTTGAGGATTTCGTTGGAAACGGGAATGTCTTCATGTAAACTCTAGACAGAAGCATTCTCAGAAACTGCTTTGGGATGTTTCAATTGAAGTCCCAGTGTTGAACATTCCCTTTCATAGAGCAGGTTTGAAACACTCTTTTTGTACTATCTGGAAGTGGACATTTGGAGCGCTTTCAGGTCTACGGTGAAAAAGGAGATATCTTCCAATAAAAACTAGATAGAAGCAATGTCAGAACTTTTTTCATGATGTATCTACTCAGCAAACAGAGTTGAACCTTTCTTTTGAGAGAGCAGTTTTGAAACACTCTTTTTGTGGAATATGCAAGTGGGTATTAGGCCAGCTTGGAGGATTTCGTTGGAAACGGGAATACGTATAAAAAGCAGACAGCAGCATTGTCAGAAACTACTTTGTGATGTTTGCATTCAAGTCACAGAATTGAACACTCCCTTTCACAGAGCAGGTTTGAAACACTCTTTTTGTAGTGTCTGTAAGTGAACATTTGGATTGCTTTCAGGCCTATGGTGAAAAAGGTAATATCTTCCCATAAAAACTAGACAGAAGCATTCTCAGAAACTTGTTCATGATGTGTGCCCTCTACTGACAGAGTTGAACCTTTCTTTGCAAAGAGCAGCTTTGAAACACTCTTTTTGTAGAATCTGCAAGAGGATATTTGGATAGCTTTGAGGATTTCGTTGGAAACGGGTATGTCTTCAGATAAACTCTAGAGAGAAGCATTCTCAGAAACTTCTTTGGGATGTTGCATTCAAGTCACAGAGTAGAACATTCCCATTCATAGAGCAGATTTGAAACACTCTTTTTGTAGTATCTGGAAGTGGACATTTGGAGCGCTTTCAGGCCTATGTTGTAAAAGGAAATATCTTCCCATAAAAACTAGACGGAAGCATTCTCAGAAACTTATTTGTGATGTGTTTGCTCAACTAACAGGATTGAACCATCGTTTTGAAGGAGCAGTTTTGAAACACTGTTTTCGTGGAATCTGCAAGTGGATATTTGGCTAGCTTTGAGGATTTCGTTGGAAACGGGATTACATATAAAAAGGAGACAGCAGCATTCTCAGAAACTTCTTTGTGATGTCTGCATTCAAGTCACAGAGTTGAGCATTCCCTTTCATAGAGCAGGTTGGAAACACTCTTTTTGTAGTATCTGGATGAGGACATTTGGAGCGCTTTCAGGCGTATGGTGAAAAAGGAAATATCTTCCCGTAAAAACTAGACAGAAGCATTCTCAGAAATTTATTTGTGATGTGTGCCGTCAACTAACAGAGTTGAACCTTTCTTTTGATAGAGCAGTTTTGAAAGACTCTTTTTGTAAAATCTGCAAGAGGATATTTGGATAGCTTTGAGGATTTCGTTGCAAACGGGAATGGCTTCATATAAACTCTAGACAGAAGCATTCTCAGAAACTTCGTTGGGATGTTTCGATTGAAGTCCCAGTGTTGAACATTCCCTTTTATAGAGCAGGTTGGAAACACTCTTTCTGCATTCCCTGGAAGTGGACATTTGGAGCGCTTTCAGGACGACGGTGAAAATGGAAATATCTTCCAAGCAAAATCTAGATAGAAGCAACGTCAGAAACTTTTCTGTGATGGATCTACTCAGCTAACAGAGTTGAACCTTTCTTTTGAGAGAGCAGTTTTGCAACACTCTTTTTGTGGAATATGCAAGTGGATATTAGGGCAGCTTTGAGGATTTCGTTGGAAACGGGAATACATGTAAAAAGCAGACAGCAGCATTCTCAGAAACTTCTTTGTGATGTTTGCATTGAAGTCACAGAGTTGAACATTCCCTTTGAGAGAGCAGGTTTGAAACACGCCTTTTGTCATATCTGGAAGTGTCCATTCGGAGCGCATTCAGGCTTGTGTTGAAAAAGGAAATATCCTCCCATAAAAACTAGACAGAAGCATTCTCAGAAACTTATCTGTGATGTATGTACTCAACTAACAGAACTAAACCATCGTTTTGAAGGAGCAGTTTTGAAACACTCTTTTTGCGGAATCTGCAAGTGGATATTTGGCTAGCTGGGAGGATTTCGTTGGAAACGGGATTACATACAAAAAGCAGACAGCAGCATTCTCAGAAACTTATTTGTGATGTGTGCCCTCAACTGACAGTGTTGAACCTTTGTTTTGATAGAGCAGTTCTGAAACACACTTTTTGTAAAATCTGCAAGAGGATATTTGGATAGCTTTGAGGATTTCGTTGGAAACGGGAATGTCTTCATGTAAACTCTAGACAGAAGCATTCTCAGAAACTGCTTTGGGATGTTTCAATTGAAGTCCCAGTGTTGAACATTCCCTTTCATAGAGCAGGTTTGAAACACTCTTTTTGTACTATCTGGAAGTGGACATTTGGAGCGCTTTCAGGTCTACGGTGAAAAAGGAGATATCTTCCAATAAAAACTAGATAGAAGCAATGTCAGAACTTTTTTCATGATGTATCTACTCAGCAAACAGAGTTGAACCTTTCTTTTGAGAGAGCAGTTTTGAAACACTCTTTTTGTGGAATATGCAAGTGGGTATTAGGCCAGCTTGGAGGATTTCGTTGGAAACGGGAATACGTATAAAAAGCAGACAGCAGCATTGTCAGAAACTACTTTGTGATGTTTGCATTCAAGTCACAGAATTGAACACTCCCTTTCACAGAGCAGGTTTGAAACACTCTTTTTGTAGTGTCTATAAGTGAACATTTGGCGTGCTTTCAGGCCTAACGTGAAAAAGGAAATATCTTCCCATAAAAACTAGACAGAAGCATTCTCAGAAACTTGTTTGTGATGTGTGCCCTCTACTGACAGAGTTGAACCTTTCTTTGCAAAGAGCAGTTTTGAAACACTCTTTTTGTAGAATCTGCAAGAGGATATTTGGATAGCTTTGAGGATTTCTTGGGAAACGGGAATGTCTTCAGATAAACTCTAGACAGAAGCATTCTCAGAAACTTCTTTGGGATGTTTCAATTGAAGTCACAGTGTTGAACATTCCCTTTCACAGAGCAGGTTTGAAACACTCTTTTTGTAGTGTCTATAAGTGAACATTTGGCGTGCTTTCAGGCCTAACGTGAAAAAGGAAATATCTTCCCATAAAAACTAGACAGAAGCATTCTCAGAAACTTGTTCTTGATGTGTCCCCTCTACTGACAGAGTTGAACCTTTCTTTGCAAAGAGCAGCTTTGAAACACTCTTTTTGTAGAATCTGCAAGAGGATATTTGGATAGCTTGGAGGATTTCGTTGGAAACGGGTATGTCTTCAGATAAACTCTAGACAGAAGCATTCTCAGAAACTTCTTTGGGATGTTGCATTCAAGTCACAGAGTAGAACATTCCCATTCATAGAGCAGATTTGAAACACTCTTTTTGTAGTATCTGGAAGTGGACATTTGGAGCGCTTTCAGGCCTATGTTGAAAAAGGAAATATCTTCCCATAAAAACTAGACGGAAGCATTCTCAGAAACTTATTTGTGATGTGTTTGCTCAACTAACAGGATTGAACCATCGTTTTGAAGGAGCAGTTTTGAAACACTGTTTTCGTGGAATCTGCAAGTGGTTATTTGGCTAGCTTTGAGGATTTCGTTGGCAAACGGGATTACATATACAAAGGAGACAGCAGCATTCTCAGAAACTTCTTTGTGATGTCTGCATTCAATTCACAGAGTTGAGCATTCCCTTTCTTAGAGCAGGTTGGAAACACTCTTTTTGTAGTATCTGGATGAGGACATTTGGAGCGCTTTCAGGCGTATGGTGAAAAAGGAAATATCTTCCCGTAAAAACTAGACAGAAGCATTCTCAGAAGTTTATTTGTGATGTGTGCCCTCAACTAACAGAGTTGAACCTTTCTTTTGATAGAGCAGTTTTGAAACACTCTTTTTGTAAAATCTGCAAGAGGATATTTGGATAGCTTTGAGGATTTCGTTGCAAACGGGAATGGCTTCATATAAACTCTAGACAGAAGCATTCTCAGAAACTTCGTTGGGATGTTTCGATTGAAGTCCCAGTGTTGAACATTCCCTTTTATAGAGCAGGTTGGAAACACTCTTTCTGCATTCCCTGGAAGTGGACATTTGGAGCGCTTTCAGGACGACGGTGAAAATGGAAATATCTTCCAAGAAAATCTAGATAGAAGCAATGTCAGAAACTTTTATGTGATGGATCTACTCAGCTAACAGAGTTGAACCTTTCTTTTGAGAGAGCAGTTTTGCAACACTCTTTTTGTGGAATATGCAAGTGGATATTAGGACAGCTTTGAGGATTTCGTTGGAAACGGGAATACATGTAAAAAGCAGACAGCAGCATTCTCAGAAACTTCTTTGTGATGTTTGCATTGAAGTCACAGAGTTGAACATTCCCTTTGAGAGAGCAGGTTTGAAACACGCCTTTTGTCATATCTGGAAGTGTCCATTCGGAGCGCATTCAGGCTTGTGTTGAAAAAGGAAATATCCTCCCATAAAAACTAGACAGAAGCATTCTCAGAAACTTATCTGTGATGTATGTACTCAACTAACAGAACTAAACCATCGTTTTGAAGGAGCAGTTTTGAAACACTCTTTTTGCGGAATCTGCAAGTGGATATTTGGCTAGCTGGGAGGATTTCGTTGGAAACGGGATTACATACAAAAAGCAGACAGCAGCATTCTCAGAAACTTATTTGTGATGTGTGCACTCAACTGACAGTGTTGAACCTTTGTTTTGATAGAGCAGTTCTGAAACACACTTTTTGTAAAATCTGCAAGAGGATATTTGGATAGCTTTGAGGATTTCGTTGGAAACGGGAATGTCTTCATGTAAACTCTAGACAGAAGCATTCTCAGAAACTGCTTTGGGATGTTTCAATTGAAGTCCCAGTGTTGAACATTCCCATTCATAGAGCAGGTTTGAAACACTCTTTTTGTACTATCTGGAAGTGGACATTTGGAGCGCTTTCAGGTCTACGGTGAAAAAGGAGATATCTTCCAATAAAAACTAGATAGAAGCAATGTCAGAACTTTTTTCATGATGTATCTACTCAGCAAACAGAGTTGAACCTTTCTTTTGAGAGAGCAGTTTTGAAACACTCTTTTTGTGGAATATGCAAGTGGGTATTAGGCCAGCTTGGAGGATTTCGTTGGAAACGGGAATACGTATAAAAAGCAGACAGCAGCATTGTCAGAAACTACTTTGTGATGTTTGCATTCAAGTCACAGAATTGAACACTCCCTTTCACAGAGCAGGTTTGAAACACTCTTTTTGTAGTGTCTGTAAGTGAACATTTGGATTGCTTTCAGGCCTAAGGTGAAAAAGGAAATATCTTCCCATAAAAACTAGACAGAAGCATTCTCAGAAACTTGTTTGTGATGTGTGCCCTCTACTGACAGAGTTGAACCTTTCTTTGCAAAGAGCAGTTTTGAAACACACTTTTTGTAGAATCTGCAAGAGGATATTTGGATAGCTTTGAGGATTTCTTGGGAAACGGGAATGTCTTCAGATAAACTCTAGAAAGAAGCATTCTCAGAAACTTCTTTGGGATGTTTCAATTGAAGTCACAGTGTTGAACATTCCCTTTCACAGAGCAGGTTTGAAACACTCTTTTTGTAGTGTCTATAAGTGAACATTTGGCGTGCTTTCAGGCCTAACGTGAAAAAGGAAATATCTTCCCATAAAAACTAGACAGAAGCATTCTCAGAAACTTGTTCTTGATGTGTCCCCTCTACTGACAGAGTTGAACCTTTCTTTGCAAAGAGCAGCTTTGAAACACTCTTTTTGTAGAATCTGCAAGAGGATATTTGGATAGCTTGGAGGATTTCGTTGGAAACGGGTATGTCTTCAGATAAACTCTAGACAGAAGCATTCTCAGAAACTTATTTGGGATGTTGCATTCAAGTCACAGAGTAGAACATTCCCATTCATAGAGCAGATTTGAAACACTCTTTTTGTAGTATCTGGAAGTGGACATTTGGAGCGCTTTCAGGCCTATGTTGAAAAAGGAAATATCTTCCCATAAAAACTAGACGGAAGCATTCTCAGAAACTTAATTGTGATGTGTTTGCTCAACTAACAGGATTGAACCATCGTTTTGAAGGAGCAGTTTTGAAACACTGTTTTCGTGGAATCTGCAAGTGGATATTTGGCTAGCTTTGAGGATTTCGTTGGAAACGGGATTACATATAAAAAGGAGACAGCAGCATTCTCAGAAACTTCTTTGTGATGTCTGCATTCAATTCACAGAGTTGAGCATTCCCTTTCATAGAGCAGGTTGGAAACACTCTTTTTGTAGTATCTGGATGTGGACATTTGGATCGCTTTCAGGCCTATGGTGAAAAAGGAAATATCTTCCCATGAAAACTAGACAGAAGCATTCTCAGAAATTTATTTGTGATGTGTGCCCTCAACTAACAGAGTTGAACCTTTCTTTTGATAGAGCAGTTTTGAAACACTCTTTTTGTAAAATCTGCAAGAGGATATTTGGATAGCTTTGAGGATTTCGTTGCAAACGGGAATGGCTTCATATAAACTCTAGACAGAAGCATTCTCAGAAACTTCGTTGGGATGTTTCGATTGAAGTCCCAGTGTTGAACATTCCCTTTTATAGAGCAGGTTGGAAACACTCTTTCTGCATTCCCTGGAAGTGGACATTTGGAGCGCTTTCAGGACGACGGTGAAAATGGAAATATCTTCCAAGAAAATCTAGATAGAAGCAACGTCAGAAACTTTTATGTGATGGATCTACTCAGCTAACAGAGTTGAACCTTTCTTTTGAGAGAGCAGTTTTGCAACACTCTTTTTGTGGAATATGCAAGTGGATATTAGGGCAGCTTTGAGGATTTCGTTGGAAACGGGAATACATGTAAAAAGCAGACAGCAGCATTCTCAGAAACTTCTTTGTGATGTTTGCATTGAAGTCACAGAGTTGAACATTCCCTTTGAGAGAGCAGGTTTGAAACACGCCTTTTGTCATATCTGGAAGTGTCCATTCGGAGCGCATTCAGGCTTGTGTTGAAAAAGGAAATATCCTCCCATAAAAACTAGACAGAAGCATTCTCAGAAACTTATTTGTGATGTATGTACTCAACTAACAGAACTAAACCATCGTTTTGAAGGAGCAGTTTTGAAACACTCTTTTTGCGGAATCTGCAACTGGATATTTGGCTAGCTTGGAGGATTTCGTTGGAAACGGGATTACATAAAAAAGCAGACAGCAGCATTCTCAGAAACTTATTTGTGATGTGTGCCCTCAACTGACAGTGTTGAACCTTTGTTTTGATAGAGCAGTTCTGAAACACACTTTTTGTAAAATCTGCAAGAGGATATTTGGATAGCTTTGAGGATTTCGTTGGAAACGGGAATGTCTTCATGTAAACTCTAGACAGAAGCATTCTCAGAAACTGCTTTGGGATGTTTCAATTGAAGTCCCAGTGTTGAACATTCCCTTTCATAGAGCAGGTTTGAAACACTCTTTTTGTACTATCTGGAAGTGGACATTTGGAGCGCTTTCAGGTCTACGGTGAAAAAGGAGATATCTTCCAATAAAAACTAGATAGAAGCAATGTCAGAACTTTTTTCATGATGTATCTACTCAGCAAACAGAGTTGAACCTTTCTTTTGAGAGAGCAGTTTCGAAACACTCTTTCTGTGGAATATGCAAGTGGGTATTAGGCCAGCTTGGAGGATTTCGTTGGAAACGGGAATACGTATAAAAAGCAGACAGCAGCATTGTCAGAAACTACTTTGTGATGTTTGCATTCAAGTCACAGAATTGAACACTCCCTTTCACAGAGCAGGTTTGAAACACTCTTTTTGTAGTGTCTGTAGGTGAACATTTGGATTGCTTTCAGGCCTAAGGTGAAAAAGGAAATATCTTCCCATAAAAACTAGACAGAAGCATTCTCAGAAACTTGTTTGTGATGTGTGCCCTCTACTGACAGAGTTGAACCTTTCTTTGCAAAGAGCAGTTTTGAAACACTCTTTTTGTAGAATCTGCAAGAGGATATTTGGATAGCTTTGAGGATTTCTTGGGAAACGGGAATGTCTTCAGATAAACTCTAGACAGAAGCATTCTCAGAAACTTCTTTGGGATGTTTCAATTGAAGTCACAGTGTTGAACATTCCCTTTCACAGAGCAGGTTTGAAACACTCTTTTTGTAGTGTCTATAAGTGAACATTTGGCGTGCTTTCAGGCGTAACGTGAAAAAGGAAATATCTTCCCATAAAAACTAGACAGAAGCATTCTCAGAAACTTGTTCATGATGTGTGCCCTCTACTGACAGAGTTGAACCTTTCTTTGCAAAGAGCAGCTTTGAAACACTCTTTTTGTAGAATCTGCAAGAGGATATTTGGATAGCTTTGAGGATTTCGTTGGAAACGGGTATGTCTTCAGATAAACTCTAGACAGAAGCATTCTCAGAAACTTCTTTGGGATGTTGCATTCAAGTCACAGAGTAGAACATTCCCATTCATAGAGCAGATTTGAAACACTCTTTTTGTAGTATCTGGAAGTGGACATTTGGAGCGCTTTCAGGCCTATGTTGAAAAAGGAAATATCTTCCCATAAAAACTAGACGGAAGCATTCTCAGAAACTTAATTGTGATGTGTTTGCTCAACTAACAGGATTGAACCATCGTTTTGAAGGAGCAGTTTTGAAACACTGTTTTCGTGGAATCTGCAAGTGGATATTTGGCTAGCTTTGAGGATTTCGTTGGAAACGGGATTACATATAAAAAGGAGACAGCAGCATTCTCAGAAACTTCTTTGTGATGTTTGCATTCAAGTCACAGAGTTGAACATTCCCTTTCATAGAGCAGGTTTGAAACACTCTTTTTGTAGTATCTGGATGTGGACATTTGGATCGCTTTCAAGCCTATGGTGAAAAAGGAAATATATCTTCCCATGAAAACTAGACAGAAGCATTCTCAGAAGTTTATTTGTGATGTGTGCCCTCAACTAACAGAGTTGAACCTTTCTTTTGATAGAGCAGTTTTGAAACACTCTTTTTGTAAAATCTGCAAGAGGATATTTGGATAGCTTTGAGGATTTCGTTGCAAACGGGAATGGCTTCATATAAACTCTAGACAGAAGCATTCTCAGAAACTTCGTTGGGATGTTTCGATTGAAGTCCCAGTGTTGAACATTCCCTTTTATAGAGCAGGTTGGAAACACTCTTTCTGCATTCCCTGGAAGTGGACATTTGGAGCGCTTTCAGGACGACGGTGAAAATGGAAATATCTTCCAAGAAAATCTAGATAGAAGCAACGTCAGAAACTTTTCTGTGATGGATCTACTCAGCTAACAGAGTTGAACCTTTCTTTTGAGAGAGCAGTTTTGCAACACTCTTTTTGTGGAATATGCAAGTGGATATTAGGGCAGCTTTGAGGATTTCGTTGGAAACGGGAATACATGTAAAAAGCAGACAGCAGCATTCTCAGAAACTTCTTTGTGATGTTTGCATTGAAGTCACAGAGTTGAACATTCCCTTTGAGAGAGCAGGTTTGAAACACGCCTTTTGTCATATCTGGAAGTGTCCATTCGGAGCGCATTCAGGCTTGTGTTGAAAAAGGAAATATCCTCCCATAAAAACTAGACAGAAGCATTCTCAGAAACTTATCTGTGATGTATGTACTCAACTAACAGAACTAAACCATCGTTTTGAAGGAGCAGTTTTGAAACACTCTTTTTGCGGAATCTGCAAGTGGATATTTGGCTAGCTGGGAGGATTTCGTTGGAAACGGGATTACATACAAAAAGCAGACAGCAGCATTCTCAGAAACTTATTTGTGATGTGTGCCCTCAACTGACAGTGTTGAACCTTTGTTTTGATAGAGCAGTTCTGAAACACACTTTTTGTAAAATCTGCAAGAGGATATTTGGATAGCTTTGAGGATTTCGTTGGAAACGGGAATGTCTTCATGTAAACTCTAGACAGAAGCATTCTCAGAAACTGCTTTGGGATGTTTCAATTGAAGTCCCAGTGTTGAACATTCCCATTCATAGAGCAGGTTTGAAACACTCTTTTTGTACTATCTGGAAGTGGACATTTGGAGCGCTTTCAGGTCTACGGTGAAAAAGGAGATATCTTCCAATAAAAACTAGATAGAAGCAATGTCAGAACTTTTTTCATGATGTATCTACTCAGCAAACAGAGTTGAACCTTTCTTTTGAGAGAGCAGTTTTGAAACACTCTTTTTGTGGAATATGCAAGTGGGTATTAGGCCAGCTTGGAGGATTTCGTTGGAAACGGGAATACGTATAAAAAGCAGACAGCAGCATTGTCAGAAACTACTTTGTGATGTTTGCATTCAAGTCACAGAATTGAACACTCCCTTTCACAGAGCAGGTTTGAAACACTCTTTTTGTAGTGTCTGTAAGTGAACATTTGGATTGCTTTCAGGCCTAAGGTGAAAAAGGAAATATCTTCCCATAAAAACTAGACAGAAGCATTCTCAGAAACTTGTTTGTGATGTGTGCCCTCTACTGACAGAGTTGAACCTTTCTTTGCAAAGAGCAGTTTTGAAACACTCTTTTTGTAGAATCTGCAAGAGGATATTTGGATAGCTTTGAGGATTTCTTGGGAAACGGGAATGTCTTCAGATAAACTCTAGACAGAAGCATTCTCAGAAACTTCTTTGGGATGTTTCAATTGAAGTCACAGTGTTGAACATTCCCTTTCACAGAGCAGGTTTGAAACACTCTTTTTGTAGTGTCTATAAGTGAACATTTGGCGTGCTTTCAGGCCTAACGTGAAAAAGGAAATATCTTCCCATAAAAACTAGACAGAAGCATTCTCAGAAACTTGTTCGTGATGTGTGCCCTCTACTGACAGAGTTGAACCTTTCTTTGCAAAGAGCAGCTTTGAAACACACTTTTTGTAGAATCTGCAAGAGGATATTTGGATAGCTTGGAGGATTTCGTTGGAAACGGGTATGTCTTCAGATAAACTCTAGACAGAAGCATTCTCAGAAACTTCTTTGGGATGTTGCATGCAAGTCACAGAGTAGAACATTCCCATTCATAAATCAGATTTGAAACACTCTTTTTGTAGTATCTGGAAGTGGACATTTGGAGCGCTTTCAGGCCTATGTTGAAAAAGGAAATATCTTCCCATAAAAACTAGACGGAAGCATTCTCAGAAACTTATTTGTGATGTGTTTGCTCAACTAACAGGATTGAACCATCGTTTTGAAGGAGCAGTTTTGAAACACTGTTTTCGTGGAATCTGCAAGTGGATATTTGGCTAGCTTTGAGGATTTCGTTGGAAACGGGATTACATATAAAAAGGAGACAGCAACATTCTCAGAAACTTCTTTGTGATGTCTGCATTCAAGTCACAGAGTTGAGCATTCCCTTTCATAGAGCAGGTTGGAAACACTCTTTTTGTAGTATCTGGATGAGGACATTTGGAGCGCTTTCAGGCGTATGGTGAAAAAGGAAATATCTTCCCGTAAAAACTAGACAGAAGCATTCTCAGAAACTTATTTGTGATGTGTGCCCTCAACTAACAGAGTTGAACCTTTCTTTTGATAGAGCAGTTTTGAAACACTCTTTTTGTAAAATCTGCAAGAGGATATTTGGATAGCTTTGAGGATTTCGTTGGAAACGGGAATGTCTTCATGTAAACTCTAGACAGAAGCATTCTCAGAAACTTCGTTGGGATGTTTCGATTGAAGTCCCAGTGTTGAACATTCCCTTTTATAGAGCAGGTTGGAAACACTCTTTCTGCATTCCCTGGAAGTGGACATTTGGAGCGCTTTCAGGACGACGGTGAAAATGGAAATATCTTCCAAGAAAATCTAGATAGAAGCAACGTCAGAAACTTTTCTGTGATGGATCTACTCAGCTAACAGAGTTGAACCTTTCTTTTGAGAGAGCAGTTTTGCAACACTCTTTTTGTGGAATATGCAAGTGGATATTAGGGCAGCTTTGAGGATTTCGTTGGAAACGGGAATACATGTAAAAAGCAGACAGCAGCATTCTCAGAAACTTCTTTGTGATGTTTGCATTGAAGTCACAGAGTTGAACATTCCCTTTGAGAGAGCAGGTTTGAAACACGCCTTTTGTCATATCTGGAAGTGTCCATTCGGAGCGCATTCAGGCTTGTGTTGAAAAAGGAAATATCCTCCCATAAAAACTAGACAGAAGCATTCTCAGAAACTTATCTGTGATGTATGTACTCAACTAACAGAACTAAACCATCGTTTTGAAGGAGCAGTTTTGAAACACTCTTTTTGCAGAATCTGCAAGTGGATATTTGGCTAGCTGGGAGGATTTCGTTGGAAACGGGATTACATACAAAAAGCAGACAGCAGCATTCTCAGAAACTTCTTTGTGATGTTTGCATTCAAGTCACAGAGTTGAACATTCCCTTTCATAGAGCAGGTTTGAAACACTCTTTTTGTAGTATCTGGATGTGGACATTTGGATCGCTTTCAGGCCTATGGTGAAAAAGGAAATATCTTCCCATGAAAACTAGACAGAAGCATTCTCAGAAACTTATTTGTGATGTGTGCCCTCAACTGACAGTGTTGAACCTTTGTTTTGATAGAGCAGTTCTGAAACACACTTTTTGTAAAATCTGCAAGAGGATATTTGGATAGCTTTGAGGATTTCGTTGGAAACGGGAATGTCTTCATGTAAACTCTACACAGAAGCATTCTCAGAAACTGCTTTGGGATGTTTCAATTGAAGTCCCAGTGTTGAACATTCCCTTTCATAGAGCAGGTTTGAAACACTCTTTTTGTACTATCTGGAAGTGGACATTTGGAGCGCTTTCAGGTCTACGGTGAAAAAGGAGATATCTTCCAATAAAAACTAGATAGAAGCAATGTCAGAACTTTTTTCATGATGTATCTACTCAGCAAACAGAGTTGAACCTTTCTTTTGAGAGAGCAGTTTTGAAACACTCTTTTTGTGGAATATGCAAGTGGGTATTAGGCCAGCTTGGAGGATTTCGTTGGAAACGGGAATACGTATAAAAAGCAGACAGCAGCATTGTCAGAAACTACTTTGTGATGTTTGCATTCAAGTCACAGAATTGAACACTCCCTTTCACAGAGCAGGTTTGAAACACTCTTTTTGTAGTGTCTGTAAGTGAACATTTGGATTGATTTCAGGCCTAAGGTGAAAAAGGAAATATCTTCCCATAAAAACTAGACAGAAGCATTCTCAGAAACTTGTTTGTGATGTGTGCCCTCTACTGACAGAGTTGAACCTTTCTTTGCAAAGAGCAGTTTTGAAACACTCTTTTTGTAGAATCTGCAAGAGGATATTTGGATAGCTTTGAGGATTTCTTGGGAAACGGGAATGTCTTCAGATAAACTCTAGACAGAAAGCATTCTGAGAAACTTCTTTGGGATGTTTCAATTGAAGTCACAGTGTTGAACATTCCCTTTCACAGAGCAGGTTTGAAACACTCTTTTTGTAGTGTCTATAAGTGAACATTTGGCGTGCTTTCAGGCCTAACGTGAAAAAGGAAATATCTTCCCATAAAAACGAGACAGAAGCATTCTCAGAAACTTGTTCGTGATGTGTGCCCTCTACTGACAGAGTTGAACCTTTCTTTGCAAAGAGCAGCTTTGAAACACTCTTTTTGTAGAATCTGCAAGAGGATATTTGGATAGCTTTGAGGATTTCGTTGGAAACGGGTATGTCTTCAGATAAACTCTAGACAGAAGCATTCTCAGAAACTTCTTTGGGATGTTGCATTCAAGTCACAGAGTAGAACATTCCCATTCATAGAGCAGATTTGAAACACTCTTTTTGTAGTATCTGGAAGTGGACATTTGGAGCGCTTTCAGGCCTATGTTGAAAAAGGAAATATCTTCCCATAAAAACTAGACGGAAGCATTCTCAGAAACTTACTTGTGATGTGTTTGCTCAACTAACAGAATTGAACCATCGTTTTGAAGGAGCAGTTTTGAAACACTGTTTTCGTGGAATCTGCAAGTGGATATTTGGCTAGCTTTGAGGATTTCGTTGGAAACGGGATTACATATAAAAAGGAGACAGCAGCATTCTCAGAAACTTCTTTGTGATGTCTGCATTCAATTCACAGAGTTGAGCATTCCCTTTCATAGAGCAGGTTGGAAACACTCTTTTTGTAGTATCTGGATGAGGACATTTGGAGCGCTTTCAGGCGTATGGTGAAAAAGGAAATATCTTCCCGTAAAAACTAGACAGAAGCATTCTCAGAAATTTATTTGTGATGTGTGCCCTCAACTAACAGAGTTGAACCTTTCTTTTGATAGAGCAGTTTTGAAACACTCTTTTTGTAAAATCTGCAAGAGGATATTTGGATAGCTTTGAGGATTTCGTTGCAAACGGGAATGGCTTCATATAAACTCTAGACAGAAGCATTCTCAGAAACTTCGTTGGGATGTTTCGATTGAAGTCCCAGTGTTGAACATTCCCTTTTATAGAGCAGGTTGGAAACACTCTTTCTGCATTCCCTGGAAGTGGACATTTGGAGCGCTTTCAGGACGACGGTGAAAATGGAAATATCTTCCAAGAAAATCTAGATAGAAGCAACGTCAGAAACTTTTATGTGATGGATCTACTCAGCTAACAGAGTTGAACCTTTCTTTTGAGAGAGCAGTTTTGCAACACTCTTTTTGTGGAATATGCAAGTGGATATTAGGGCAGCTTTGAGGATTTCGTTGGAAACGGGAATACATGTAAAAAGCAGACAGCAGCATTCTCAGAAACTTCTTTGTGATGTTTGCATTGAAGTCACAGAGTTGAACATTCCCTTTGAGAGAGCAGGTTTGAAACACGCCTTTTGTCATATCTGGAAGTGTCCATTCGGAGCGCATTCAGGCTTGTGTTGAAAAAGGAAATATCCTCCCATAAAAACTAGACAGAAGCATTCTCAGAAACTTATCTGTGATGTATGTACTCAACTAACAGAACTAAACCATCGTTTTGAAGGAGCAGTTTTGAAACACTCTTTTTGCGGAATCTGCAAGTGGATATTTGGCTAGCTGGGAGGATTTCGTTGGAAACGGGATTACATACAAAAAGCAGACAGCAGCATTCTCAGAAACTTATTTGTGATGTGTGCCCTCAACTGAGAGTGTTGAACCTTTGTTTTGATAGAGCAGTTCTGAAACACACTTTTTGTAAAATCTGCAAGAGGATATTTGGATAGCTTTGAGGATTTCGTTGGAAACGGGAATGTCTTCATGTAAACTCTAGACAGAAGCATTCTCAGAAACTGCTTTGGGATGTTTCAATTGAAGTCCCAGTGTTGAACATTCCCTTTCATAGAGCAGGTTTGAAACACTCTTTTTGTACTATCTGGAAGTGGACATTTGGAGCGCTTTCAGGTCTACGGTGAAAAAGGAGATATCTTCCAATAAAAACTAGATAGAAGCAATGTCAGAACTTTTTTCATGATGTATCTACTCAGCAAACAGAGTTGAACCTTTCTTTTGAGAGAGCAGTTTTGAAACACTCTTTTTGTGGAATATGCAAGTGGGTATTAGGCCAGCTTGGAGGATTTCGTTGGAAACGGGAATACGTATAAAAAGCAGACAGCAGCATTGTCAGAAACTACTTTGTGATGTTTGCATTCAAGTCACAGAATTGAACACTCCCTTTCACAGAGCAGGTTTGAAACACTCTTTTTGTAGTGTCTGTAAGTGAACATTTGGATTGCTTTCAGGCCTAAGGTGAAAAAGGAAATATCTTCCCATAAAAACTAGACAGAAGCATTCTCAGAAACTTGTTTGTGATGTGTGCCCTCTACTGACAGAGTTGAACCTTTCTTTGCAAAGAGCAGTTTTGAAACACACTTTTTGTAGAATCTGCAAGAGGATATTTGGATAGCTTTGAGGATTTCTTGGGAAACGGGAATGTCTTCAGATAAACTCTAGAAAGAAGCATTCTCAGAAACTTCTTTGGGATGTTTCAATTGAAGTCACAGTGTTGAACATTCCCTTTCACAGAGCAGGTTTGAAACACTCTTTTTGTAGTGTCTATAAGTGAACATTTGGCGTGCTTTCAGGCGTAACGTGAAAAAGGAAATATCTTCCCATAAAAACTAGACAGAAGCATTCTCAGAAACTTGTTCGTGATGTGTGCCCTCTACTGACAGAGTTGAACCTTTCTTTACAAAGAGCAGCTTTGAAACACACTTTTTGTAGAATCTGCAAGAGGATATTTGGATAGCTTTGAGGATTTCGTTGGAAACGGGTATGTCTTCAGATAAACTCTAGACAGAAGCATTCTCAGAAACTTCTTTGGGATGTTGCATGCAAGTCACAGAGTAGAACATTCCCATTCATAGAGCAGATTTGAAACACTCTTTTTGTAGTATCTGGAAGTGGACATTTGGAGCGCTTTCAGGCCTATGTTGAAAAAGGAAATATCTTCCCATAAAAACTAGACGGAAGCATTCTCAGAAACTTACTTGTGATGTGTTTGCTCAACTAACAGAATTGAACCATCGTTTTGAAGGAGCAGTTTTGAAACACTGTTTTCGTGGAATCTGCAAGTGGATATTTGGCTAGCTTTGAGGATTTCGATGGAAACGGGATTACATATAAAAAGGAGACAGCAGCATTCTGAGAAACTTCTTTGTGATGTCTGCATTCAATTCACAGAGTTGAGCATTCCCTTTCATAGAGCAGGTTGGAAACACTCTTTTTGTAGTATCTGGATGTGGACATTTGGATCGCTTTCTGGCCTATGGTGAAAAAGGAAATATCTTCCCATGAAAACTAGACAGAAGCATTCTCAGAAACTTATTTGTGATGTGTGCCCTCAACTGACAGTGTTGAACCTTTGTTTTGATAGAGCAGTTCTGAAACACACTTTTTGTAAAATCTGCAAGAGGATATTTGGATAGCTTTGAGGATTTCGTTGGAAACGGGAATGTCTTCATGTAAACTCTAGACAGAAGCATTCTCAGAAACTGCTTTGGGATGTTTCAATTGAAGTCCCAGTGTTGAACATTCCCTTTCATAGAGCAGGTTTGAAACACTCTTTTTGTACTATCTGGAAGTGGACATTTGGAGCGCTTTCAGGTCTACGGTGAAAAAGGAGATATCTTCCAATAAAAACTAGATAGAAGCAATGTCAGAACTTTTTTCGTGATGTATCTACTCAGCAAACAGAGTTGAACCTTTCTTTTGAGAGAGCAGTTTTGAAACACTCTTTTTGTGGAATATGCAAGTGGGTATTAGGCCAGCTTGGAGGATTTCGTTGGAAACGGGAATACGTATAAAAAGCAGACAGCAGCATTGTCAGAAACTACTTTGTGATGTTTGCATTCAAGTCACAGAATTGAACACTCCCTTTCACAGAGCAGGTTTGAAACACTCTTTTTGTAGTGTCTGTAAGTGAACATTTGGATTGCTTTCAGGCCTAAGGTGAAAAAGGAAATATCTTCCCATAAAAACTAGACAGAAGCATTCTCAGAAACTTGTTTGTGATGTGTGCCCTCTACTGACAGAGTTGAACCTTTCTTTGCAAAGACCAGTTTTGAAACACTCTTTTTGTAGAATCTGCAAGAGGATATTTGGATAGCTTTGAGGATTTCTTGGGAAACGGGAATGTCTTCAGATAAACTCTAGACAGAAGCATTCTCAGAAACTTCTTTGGGATGTTTCAATTGAAGTCACAGTGTTGAACATTCCCTTTCACAGAGCAGGTTTGAAACACTCTTTTTGTAGTGTCTATAAGTGAACATTTGGCGTGCTTTCAGGCCTAACGTGAAAAAGGAAATATCTTCCCATAAAAACTAGACAGAAGCATTCTCAGAAACTTGTTCGTGATGTGTGCCCTCTACTGACAGAGTTGAACCTTTCTTTGCAAAGAGCAGCTTTGAAACACACTTTTTGTAGAATCTGCAAGAGGATATTTGGATAGCTTTGAGGATTTCGTTGGAAACGGGTATGTCTTCAGATAAACTCTAGACAGAAGCATTCTCAGAAACTTCTTTGGGATGTTGCATTCAAGTCACAGAGTAGAACATTCCCATTCATAGAGCAGATTTGAAACACTCTTTTTGTAGTATCTGGAAGTGGACATTTGGAGCGCTTTCAGGCCTATGTTGAAAAAGGGAATATCTTCCCATAAAAACTAGACGGAAGCATTCTCAGAAACTTATTTGTGATGTGTTTGCTCAACTAACAGGATTGAACCATCGTTTTGAAGGAGCAGTTTTGAAACACTGTTTTCGTGGAATCTGCAAGTGGATATTTGGCTAGCTTTGAGGATTTCGTTGGAAACGGGATTACATATAAAAAGGAGACAGCAGCATTCTCAGAAACTTCTTTGTGATGTTTGCATTCAAGTCACAGAGTTGAACATTCCCTTTCATAGAGCAGGTTTGAAACACTCTTTTTGTAGTATCTGGATGTGGACATTTGGATCGCTTTCAGGCCTATGGTGAAAAAGGAAATATCTTCCCATGAAAACTAGACAGAAGCATTCTCAGAAGTTTATTTGTGATGTGTGCCCTCAACTAACAGAGTTGAACCTTTCTTTTGATAGAGCAGTTTTGAAACACTCTTTTTGTAAAATCTGCAAGAGGATATTTGGATAGCTTTGAGGATTTCGTTGCAAACGGGAATGGCTTCATATAAACTCTAGACAGAAGCATTCTCAAGAAACTTCGTTGGGATGTTTCGATTGAAGTCCCAGTGTTGAACATTCCCTTTTATAGAGCAGGTTGGAAACACTCTTTCTGCATTCCCTGGAAGTGGACATTTGGAGCGCTTTCAGGACGACGGTGAAAATGGAAATATCTTCCAAGAAAATCTAGATAGAAGCAATGTCAGAAACTTTTATGTGATGGATCTACTCAGCTAACAGAGTTGAACCTTTCTTTTGAGAGAGCAGTTTTGCAACACTCTTTTTGTGGAATATGCAAGTGGATATTAGGGCAGCTTTGAGGATTTCGTTGGAAACGGGAATACATGTAAAAAGCAGACAGCAGCATTCTCAGAAACTTCTTTGTGATGTTTGCATTGAAGTCACAGAGTTGAACATTCCCTTTGAGAGAGCAGGTTTGAAACACGCCTTTTGTCATATCTGGAAGTGTCCATTCGGAGCGCATTCAGGCTTGTGTTGAAAAAGGAAATATCCTCCCAGAAAAACTAGACAGAAGCATTCTCAGAAACTTATCTGTGATGTATGTACTCAACTAACAGAACTAAACCATCGTTTTGAAGGAGCAGTTTTGAAACACTCTTTTTGCGGAATCTGCAAGTGGATATTTGGCTAGCTGGGAGGATTTCGTTGGAAACGGGATTACATACAAAAAGCAGACAGCAGCATTCTCAGAAACTTATTTGTGATGTGTGCCCTCAACTGACAGTGTTGAACCTTTGTTTTGATAGAGCAGTTCTGAAACACACTTTTTGTAAAATCTGCAAGAGGATATTTGGATAGCTTTGAGGATTTCGTTGGAAACGGGAATGTCTTCATGTAAACTCTACACAGAAGCATTCTCAGAAACTGCTTTGGGATGTTTCAATTGAAGTCCCAGTGTTGAACATTCCCTTTCATAGAGCAGGTTTGAAACCCTCTTTTTGTACTATCTGGAAGTGGACATTTGGAGCGCTTTCAGGTCTACGGTGAAAAAGGAGATATCTTCCAATAAAAACTAGATAGAAGCAATGTCAGAACTTTTTTCATGATGTATCTACTCAGCAAACAGAGTTGAACCTTTCTTTTGAGAGAGCAGTTTTGAAACACTCTTTTTGTGGAATATGCAAGTGGGTATTAGGCCAGCTTGGAGGATTTCGTTGGAAACGGGAATACGTATAAAAAGCAGACAGCAGCATTGTCAGAAACTACTTTGTGATGTTTGCATTCAAGTCACAGAATTGAACACTCCCTTTCACAGAGCAGGTTAGAAACACTCTTTTTGTAGTGTCTGTAAGTGAACATTTGGATTCCTTTCAGGCCTAAGGTGAAAAAGGAAATATCTTCCCATAAAAACTAGACAGAAGCATTCTCAGAAACTTGTTTGTGATGTGTGCCCTCTACTGACAGAGTTGAACCTTTCTTTGCAAAGAGCAGTTTTGAAACACTCTTTTTGTAGAATCTGCAAGAGGATATTTGGATAGCTTTGAGGATTTCTTGGGAAACGGGAATGTCTTCAGATAAACTCTAGACAGAAGCATTCTCAGAAACTTCTTTGGGATGTTTCAATTGAAGTCACAGTGTTGAACATTCCCTTTCACAGAGCAGGTTTGAAACACTCTTTTTGTAGTGTCTATAAGTGAACATTTGGCGTGGTTTCAGGGGTAACGTGAAAAAGGACATATCTTCCCATGAAAACTAGACAGAAAGCATTCTCAGAAACTTGTTCGTGATGTGTGCCCTCTACTGACAGAGTTGAACCTTTCTTTGCAAAGAGCAGCTTTGAAACACACTTTTTGTAGAATCTGCAAGAGGATATTTGGATAGCTTTGAGGATTTCGTTGGAAACGGGTATGTCTTCAGATAAACTCTAGACAGAAGCATTCTCAGAAACTTCTTTGGGATGTTGCATTCAAGTCACAGAGTAGAACATTCCCATTCATAGAGCAGATTTGAAACACTCTTTTTGTAGTATCTGGAAGTGGACATTTGGAGCGCTTTCAGGCCTATGTTGAAAAAGGAAATATCTTCCCATAAAAACTAGACGGAAGCATTCTCAGAAACTTATTTGTGATGTGTTTGCTCAACTAACAGGATTGAACCATCGTTTTGAAGGAGCAGTTTTGAAACACTGTTTTCGTGGAATCTGCAAGTGGATATTTGGCTAGCTTTGAGGATTTCGTTGGAAACGGGATTACATATACAAAGGAGACAGCAGCATTCTCAGAAACTTCTTTGTGATGTCTGCATTCAATTCACAGAGTTGAGCATTCCCTTTCGTAGAGCAGGTTGGAAACACTCTTTTTGTAGTATCTGGATGAGGACATTTGGAGCGCTTTCAGGCGTATGGTGAAAAGGGAAATATCTTCCCGTAAAAACTAGACAGAAGCATTCTCAGAAGTTTATTTGTGATGTGTGCCCTCAACTAACAGAGTTGAACCTTTCTTTTGATAGAGCAGTTTTGAAACACTCTTTTTGTAAAATCTGCAAGAGGATATTTGGATAGCTTTGAGGATTTCGTTGCAAACGGGAATGGCTTCATATAAACTCTAGACAGAAGCATTCTCAGAAACTTCGTTGGGATGTTTCGATTGAAGTCCCAGTGTTGAACATTCCCTTTTATAGAGCAGGTTGGAAACACTCTTTCTGCATTCCCTGGAAGTGGACATTTGGAGCGCTTTCAGGACGACGGTGAAAATGGAAATATCTTCCAAGAAAATCTAGATAGAAGCAACGTCAGAAACTTTTCTGTGATGGATCTACTCAGCTAACAGAGTTGAACCTTTCTTTTGAGAGAGCAGTTTTGCAACACTCTTTTTGTGGAATATGCAAGTGGATATTAGGGCAGCTTTGAGGATTTCGTTGGAAACGGGAATACATGTAAAAAGCAGACAGCAGCATTCTCAGAAACTTCTTTGTGATGTTTGCATTGAAGTCACAGAGTTGAACATTCCCTTTGAGAGAGCAGGTTTGCAACACGCCTTTTGTCATATCTGGAAGTGTCCATTCGGAGCGCATTCAGGCTTGTGTTGAAAAAGGAAATATCCTCCCATAAAAACTAGACAGAAGCATTCTCAGAAACTTATTTGTGATGTATGTACTCAACTAACAGAACTAAACCATCGTTTTGAAGGAGCAGTTTTGAAACACTCTTTTTGCGGAATCTGCAACTGGATATTTGGCTAGCTTGGAGGATTTCGTTGGAAACGGGATTACATACAAAAAGCAGACAGCAGCATTCTCAGAAACTTCTTTGTGATGTTTGCATTCAAGTCGCAGAGTTGAACATTCCCTTTCATAGAGCAGGTTTGCAACACTCTTTTTGTAGTATCTGGATGTGGACATTTGGATCGCTTTCAGGCCTATGTTGAAAAAGGAAATATCTTCCCATGAAAACTAGACAGAAGCATTCTCAGAAATTTATTTGTGATGTGTGCCCTCAACTAACAGAGTTGAACCTTTCTTTTGATAGAGCAGTTTTGAAACACTCTTTTTGTAAAATCTGCAAGAGGATATTTGGATAGCTTTGAGGATTTCGTTGCAAACGGGAATGGCTTCATATAAACTCTAGACAGAAGCATTCTCAGAAACTTCGTTGGGATGTTTCGATTGAAGTCCCAGTGTTGAACATTCCCTTTTATAGAGCAGGTTGGAAACACTCTTTCTGCATTCCCTGGAAGTGGACATTTGGAGCGCTTTCAGGACGACGGTGAAAATGGAAATATCTTCCAAGAAAATCTAGATAGAAGCAACGTCAGAAACTTTTCTGTGATGGATCTACTCAGCTAACAGAGTTGAACCTTTCTTTTGAGAGAGCAGTTTTGCAACACTCTTTTTGTGGAATATGCAAGTGGATATTAGGGCAGCTTTGAGGATTTCGTTGGAAACGGGAATACATGTAAAAAGCAGACAGCAGCATTCTCAGAAACTTCTTTGTGATGTTTGCATTGAAGTCACAGAGTTGAACATTCCCTTTGAGAGAGCAGGTTTGAAACACGCCTTTTGTCATATCTGGAAGTGTCCATTCGGAGCGCATTCAGGCTTGTGTTGAAAAAGGAAATATCCTCCCATAAAAACTAGACAGAAGCATTCTCAGAAACTTATCTGTGATGTATGTACTCAACTAACAGAACTAAACCATCGTTTTGAAGGAGCAGTTTTGAAACACTCTTTTTGCGGAATCTGCAAGTGGATATTTGGCTAGCTGGGAGGATTTCGTTGGAAACGGGATTACATACAAAAAGCAGACAGCAGCATTCTCAGAAACTTATTTGTGATGTGTGCCCTCAACTGACAGTGTTGAACCTTTGTTTTGATAGAGCAGTTCTGAAACACACTTTTTGTAAAATCTGCAAGAGGATATTTGGATAGCTTTGAGGATTTCGTTGGAAACGGGAATGTCTTCATGTAAACTCTACACAGAAGCATTCTCAGAAACTGCTTTGGGATGTTTCAATTGAAGTCCCAGTGTTGAACATTCCCATTCATAGAGCAGGTTTGAAGCACTCTTTTTGTACTATCTGGAAGTGGACATTTGGAGCGCTTTCAGGTCTACGGTGAAAAAGGAGATATCTTCCAATAAAAACTAGATAGAAGCAATGTCAGAACTTTTTTCATGATGTATCTACTCAGCAAACAGAGTTGAACCTTTCTTTTGAGAGAGCAGTTTTGACACTGTCTTTGTGGAATATGCAAGTGGGTATTAGGCCAGCTTGGAGGATTTCGTTGGAAACGGGAATACGTATAAAAAGCAGACAGCAGCATTGTCAGAAACTACTTTGTGATGTTTGCATTCAAGTCACAGAACTGAACACTCCCTTTCACAGAGCAGGTTTGAAACACTCTTTTTGTAGTGTCTGTAAGTGAACATTTGGATTGCTTTCAGGCCTAAGGTGAAAAAGGAAATATCTTCCCATAAAAACTAGACAGAAGCATTCTCAGAAACTTGTTTGTGATGTGTGCCCTCTACTGACAGAGTTGAACCTTTCTTTGCAAAGAGCAGTTTTGAAACACTCTTTTTGTAGAATCTGCAAGAGGATATTTGGATAGCTTTGAGGATTTCTTGGGAAACGGGAATGTCTTCAGATAAACTCTAGACAGAAGCATTCTCAGAAACTTCTTTGGGATGTTTCAATTGAAGTCACAGTGTTGAACATTCCCTTTCACAGAGCAGGTTTGAAACACTCTTTTTGTAGTGTCTATAAGTGAACATTTGGCGTGCTTTCAGGCCTAACGTGAAAAAGGAAATATCTTCCCATAAAAACTAGACAGAAGCATTCTCAGAAACTTGTTCGTGATGTGTGCCCTCTACTGACAGAGTTGAACCTTTCTTTGCAAAGAGCAGCTTTGAAACACTCTTTTTGTAGAATCTGCAAGAGGATATTTGGATAGCTTTGAGGATTTCGTTGGAAACGGGTATGTCTTCAGATAAACTCTAGACAGAAGCATTCTCAGAAACTTCTTTGGGATGTTGCATTCAAGTCACAGAGTAGAACATTCCCATTCATAGAGCAGATTTGAAACACTCTTTTTGTAGTATCTGGAAGTGGACATTTGGAGCGCTTTCAGGCCTATGTTGAAAAAGGAAATATCTTCCCATAAAAACTAGACGGAAGCATTCTCAGAAACTTATTTGTGATGTGTTTGCTCAACTAACAGGATTGAACCATCGTTTTGAAGGAGCAGTTTTGAAACACTGTTTTCGTGGAATCTGCAAGTGGATATTTGGCTAGCTTTGAGGATTTCGTTGGAAACGGGATTACATATAAAAAGGAGACAGCAGCATTCTCAGAAACTTCTTTGTGATGTTTGCATTCAAGTCACAGAGTTGAACATTCCCTTTCATAGAGCAGGTTTGAAACACTCTTTTTGTAGTATCTGGATGTGGACATTTGGATCGCTTTCAGGCCTATGGTGAAAAAGGAAATATCTTCCCATGAAAACTAGACAGAAGCATTCTCAGAAATTTATTTGTGATGTGTGCCCTCAACTAACAGAGTTGAACCTTTCTTTTGATAGAGCAGTTTTGAAACACTCTTTTTGTAAAATCTGCAAGAGGATATTTGGATAGCTTTGAGGATTTCGTTGCAAACGGGAATGGCTTCATATAAACTCTAGACAGAAGCATTCTCAGAAACTTCGTTGGGATGTTTCGATTGAAGTCCCAGTGTTGAACATTCCCTTTTATAGAGCAGGTTGGAAACACTCTTTCTGCATTCCCTGGAAGTGGACATTTGGAGCGCTTTCAGGACGACGGTGAAAATGGAAATATCTTCCAAGAAAATCTAGATAGAAGCAACGTCAGAAACTTTTATGTGATGGATCTACTCAGCTAACAGAGTTGAACCTTTCTTTTGAGAGAGCAGTTTTGCAACACTCTTTTTGTGGAATATGCAAGTGGATATTAGGGCAGCTTTGAGGATTTCGTTGGAAACGGGAATACATGTAAAAAGCAGACAGCAGCATTCTCAGAAACTTCTTTGTGATGTTTGCATTGAAGTCACAGAGTTGAACATTCCCTTTGAGAGAGCAGGTTTGAAACACGCCTTTTGTCATATCTGGAAGTGTCCATTCGGAGCGCATTCAGGCTTGTGTTGAAAAAGGAAATATCCTCCCAGAAAAACTAGACAGAAGCATTCTCAGAAACTTATCTGTGATGTATGTACTCAACTAACAGAACTAAACCACCGTTTTGAAGGAGCAGTTTTGAAACACTCTTTTTGCGGAATCTGCAAGTGGATATTTGGCTAGCTGGGAGGATTTCGTTGGAAACGGGATTACATACAAAAAGCAGACAGCAGCATTCTCAGAAACTTATTTGTGATGTGTGCCCTCAACTGACAGTGTTGAACCTTTGTTTTGATAGAGCAGTTCTGAAACACACTTTTTGTAAAATCTGCAAGAGGATATTTGGATAGCTTTGAGGATTTCGTTGGAAACGGGAATGTCTTCATGTAAACTCTAGACAGAAGCATTCTCAGAAACTGCTTTGGGATGTTTCAATTGAAGTCCCAGTGTTGAACATTCCCATTCATAGAGCAGGTTTGAAACACTCTTTTTGTAATATCTGGAAGTGGACATTTGGAGCGCTTTCAGGTCTACGGTGAAAAAGGAGATATCTTCCAATAAAAACTAGATAGAAGCAATGTCAGAACTTTTTTCATGATGTATCTACTCAGCAAACAGAGTTGAACCTTTCTTTTGAGAGAGCAGTTTTGAAACACTCTTTTTGTGGAATATGCAAGTGGGTATTAGGCCAGCTTGGAGGATTTCGTTGGAAACGGGAATACGTATAAAAAGCAGACAGCAGCATTGTCAGAAACTACTTTGTGATGTTTGCATTCAAGTCACAGAATTGAACACTCCCTTTCACAGAGCAGGTTTGAAACACTCTTTTTGTAGTGTCTGTAAGTGAACATTTGGATTGCTTTCAGGCCTAAGGTGAAAAAGGAAATATCTTCCCATAAAAACTAGACAGAAGCATTCTCAGAAACTTGTTTGTGATGTGTGCCCTCTACTGACAGAGTTGAACCTTTCTTTGCAAAGAGCAGTTTTGAAACACTCTTTTTGTAGAATCTGCAAGAGGATATTTGGATAGCTTTGAAGATTTCTTGGGAAACGGGAATGTCTTCAGATAAACTCTAGACAGAAGCATTCTCAGAAACTTCTTTGGGATGTTTCAATTGAAGTCACAGTGTTGAACATTCCCTTTCACAGAGCAGGTTTGAAACACTCTTTTTGTAGTGTCTATAAGTGAACATTTGGCGTGCTTTCAGGCGTAACGTGAAAAAGGAAATATCTTCCCATAAAAACCAGACAGAAGCATTCTCAGAAACTTGTTCTTGATGTGTCCCCTCTACTGACAGAGTTGAACCTTTCTTTGCAAAGAGCAGCTTTGAAACACTCTTTTTGTAGAATCTGCAAGAGGATATTTGGATAGCTTGGAGGATTTCGTTAGAAACGGGTATGTCTTCAGATAAACTCTAGACAGAAGCATTCTCAGAAACTTCTTTGGGATGTTGCATTCAAGTCACAGAGTAGAACATTCCCATTCATAGAGCAGATTTGAAACACTCTTTTTGTAGTATCTGGAAGTGGACATTTGGAGCGCTTTCAGGCCTATGTTGAAAAAGGAAATATCTTCCCATAAAAACTAGACGGAAGCATTCTCAGAAACTTACTTGTGATGTGTTTGCTCAACTAACAGAATTGAACCATCGTTTTGAAGGAGCAGTTTTGAAACACTGTTTTCGTGGAATCTGCAAGTGGATATTTGGCTAGCTTTGAGGATTTCGTTGGAAACGGGATTACATATAAAAAGGAGACAGCAGCATTCTCAGAAACTTCTTTGTGATGTCTGCATTCAATTCACAGAGTTGAGCATTCCCTTTCATAGAGCAGGTTGGAAACACTCTTTTTGTAGTATCTGGATGAGGACATTTGGAGCGCTTTCAGGCGTATGGTGAAAAAGGAAATATCTTCCCGTAAAAACTAGACAGAAGCATTCTCAGAAATTTATTTGTGATGTGTGCCCTCAACTAACAGAGTTGAACCTTTCTTTTGATAGAGCAGTTTTGAAACACTCTTTTTGTAAAATCTGCAAGAGGATATTTGGATAGCTTTGAGGATTTCGTTGCAAACGGGAATGGCTTCATATAAACTCTAGACAGAAGCATTCTCAGAAACTTCGTTGGGATGTTTCGATTGAAGTCCCAGTGTTGAACATTCCCTTTTATAGAGCAGGTTGGAAACACTCTTTCTGCATTCCCTGGAAGTGGACATTTGGAGCGCTTTCAGGACGACGGTGAAAATGGAAATATCTTCCAAGAAAATCTAGATAGAAGCAACGTCAGAAACTTTTATGTGATGGATCTACTCAGCTAACAGAGTTGAACCTTTCTTTTGAGAGAGCAGTTTTGCAACACTCTTTTTGTGGAATATGCAAGTGGATATTAGGGCAGCTTTGAGGATTTCGTTGGAAACGGGAATACATGTAAAAAGCAGACAGCAGCATTCTCAGAAACTTCTTTGTGATGTTTGCATTGAAGTCACAGAGTTGAACATTCCCTTTGAGAGAGCAGGTTTGAAACACGCCTTTTGTCATATCTGGAAGTGTCCATTCGGAGCGCATTCAGGCTTGTGTTGAAAAAGGAAATATCCTCCCATAAAAACTAGACAGATAAGCATTCTCAGAAACTTATCTGTGATGTATGTACTCAACTAACAGGAACTAAACCATCGTTTTGAAGGAGCAGTTTTGAAACACTCTTTTTGCGGAATCTGCAAGTGGATATTTGGCTAGCTGGGAGGATTTCGTTGGAAACGGGATTACATACAAAAAGCAGAGAGCAGCATTCTCAGAAACCTTATTTGTGATGTGTGCCCTCAACTGACAGTGTTGAACCTTTGTTTTGATAGAGCAGTTCTGAAACACACTTTTTGTAAAATCTGCAAGAGGATATTTGGATAGCTTTGAGGATTTCGTTGGAAACGGGAATGTCTTCATGTAAACTCTACACAGAAGCATTCTCAGAAACTGCTTTGGGATGTTTCAATTGAAGTCCCAGTGTTGAACATTCCCATTCATAGAGCAGGTTTGAAACACTCTTTTTGTACTATCTGGAAGTGGACATTTGGAGCGCTTTCAGGTCTACGGTGAAAAAGGAGATATCTTCCAATAAAAACTAGATAGAAGCAATGTCAGAACTTTTTTCATGATGTATCTACTCAGCTAACAGAGTTGAACCTTTCTTTTGAGAGAGCAGTTTTGAAACACTCTTTTTGTGGAATATGCAAGTGGGTATTAGGCCAGCTTGGAGGATTTCGTTGGAAACGGGAATACGTATAAAAAGCAGACAGCAGCATTGTCAGAAACTACTTTGTGATGTTTGCATTCAAGTCACAGAATTGAACACTCCCTTTCACAGAGCAGGTTTGAAACACTCTTTTTGTAGTGTCTGTAAGTGAACATTTGGATTGCTTTCAGGCCTAAGGTGAAAAAGGAAATATCTTCCCATAAAAACTAGACAGAAGCATTCTCAGAAACTTGTTTGTGATGTGTGCCCTCTACTGACAGAGTTGAACCTTTCTTTGCAAAGAGCAGTTTTGAAACACTCTTTTTGTAGAATCTGCAAGAGGATATTTGGATAGCTTTGAGGATTTCTTGGGAAACGGGAATGTCTTCAGATAAACTCTAGACAGAAGCATTCTCAGAAACTTCTTGGGATATTTCAATTGAAGTCACAGTGTTGAACATTCCCTTTCACAGAGCAGGTTTGAAACACTCTTTTTGTAGTGTCTATAAGTGAACATTTGGCGTGCTTTCAGGCCTAACGTGAAAAAGGAAATATCTTCCCATAAAAACTAGACAGAAGCATTCTCAGAAACTTGTTCGTGATGTGTCCCCTCTACTGACAGAGTTGAACCTTTCTTTGCAAAGAGCAGCTTTGAAACACACTTTTTGTAGAATCTGCAAGAGGATATTTGGATAGCTTTGAGGATTTCGTTGGAAACGGGTATGTCTTCAGATAAACTCTAGACAGAAGCATTCTCAGAAACTTCTTTGGGATGTTGCATTCAAGTCACAGAGTAGAACATTCCCATTCATAGAGCAGATTTGAAACACTCTTTTTGTAGTATCTGGAAGTGGACATTTGGAGCGCTTTCAGGCCTATGTTGAAAAAGGAAATATCTTCCCATAAAAACTAGACGGAAGCATTCTCAGAAACTTAATTGTGATGTGTTTGCTCAACTAACAGGATTGAACCATCGTTTTGAAGGAGCAGTTTTGAAACACTGTTTTCGTGGAATCTGCAAGTGGATATTTGGCTAGCTTTGAGGATTTCGTTGGAAACGGGATTACATATAAAAAGGAGACAGCAGCATTCTCAGAAACTTCTTTGTGATGTTTGCATTCAAGTCACAGAGTTGAACATTCCCTTTCATAGAGCAGGTTTGAAACACTCTTTTTGTAGTATCTGGATGCGGACATTTGGATCGCTTTCAGGCCTATGGTGAAAAAGGAAATATCTTCCCATGAAAACTAGACAGAAGCATTCTCAGAAACTTATTTGTGATGTGTGCCCTCAACTGACAGTGTTGAACCTTTGTTTTGATAGAGCAGTTCTGAAACACACTTTTTGTAAAATCTGCAAGAGGATATTTGGATAGCTTTGAGGATTTCGTTGGAAACGGGAATGTCTTCATGTAAACTCTAGACAGAAGCATTCTCAGAAACTGCTTTGGGATGTTTCAATTGAAGTCCCAGTGTTGAACATTCCCTTTCATAGAGCAGGTTTGAAACACTCTTTTTGTACTATCTGGAAGTGGACATTTGGAGCGCTTTCAGGTCTACGGTGAAAAAGGAGATATCTTCCAATAAAAACTAGATAGAAGCAATGTCAGAACTTTTTTCATGATGTATCTACTCAGCAAACAGAGTTGAACCTTTCTTTTGAGAGAGCAGTTTTGAAACACTCTTTTTGTGGAATATGCAAGTGGGTATTAGGCCAGCTTGGAGGATTTCGTTGGAAACGGGAATACGTATAAAAAGCAGACAGCAGCATTGTCAGAAACTACTTTGTGATGTTTGCATTCAAGTCACAGAACTGAACACTCCCTTTCACAGAGCAGGTTTGAAACACTCTTTTTGTAGTGTCTGTAAGTGAACATTTGGATTGCTTTCAGGCCTAAGGTGAAAAAGGAAATATCTTCCCATAAAAACTAGACAGAAGCATTCTCAGAAACTTGTTTGTGATGTGTGCCCTCTACTGACAGAGTTGAACCTTTCTTTGCAAAGACCAGTTTTGAAACACTCTTTTTGTAGAATCTGCAAGAGGATATTTGGATAGCTTTGAGGATTTCTTGGGAAACGGGAATGTCTTCAGATAAACTCTAGACAGAAGCATTCTCAGAAACTTCTTTGGGATGTTTCAATTGAAGTCACAGTGTTGAACATTCCCTTTCACAGAGCAGGTTTGAAACACTCTTTTTGTAGTGTCTATAAGTGAACATTTGGCGTGCTTTCAGGCCTAACGTGAAAAAGGAAATATCTTCCCATAAAAACTAGACAGAAGCATTCTCAGAAACTTGTTCGTGATGTGTGCCCTCTACTGACAGAGTTGAACCTTTCTTTGCAAAGAGCAGCTTTGAAACACTCTTTTTGTAGAATCTGCAAGAGGATATGTGGATAGCTTTGAGGATTTCGTTGGAAACGGGTATGTCTTCAGATAAACTCTAGACAGAAGCATTCTCAGAAACTTCTTTGGGATGTTGCATTCAAGTCACAGAGTAGAACATTCCCATTCATAGAGCAGATTTGAAACACTCTTTTTGTAGTATCTGGAAGTGGACATTTGGAGCGCTTTCAGGCCTATGTTGAAAAAGGAAATATCTTCCCATAAAAACTAGACGGAAGCATTCTCAGAAACTTGTTTGTGATGTGTGCCCTCTACTGACAGAGTGGAACCTTTCTTTGCAAAGAGCAGTTTTGAAACCCTCTTTTTGTAGAATCTGCAAGAGGATATTTGGATAGATTTGAGTATTTCTTGGGAAACGGGAATGTCTTCAGATAAACTCTAGACAGAAGCATTCTCAGAAACTGCTTTGGGATGTTGCATTCAAGTCACAGAGTTGAGCATTCCCTTTTATAGAGCAGGTTTGAAACACTCTCTTTGTAGTATCTGCATGAGGACATTTGGAGCGCTTTCAGGCGTATGGTGAAAAAGGAAATATCTTCCCGTAAAAACTAGACAGAAGCATTCTCAGAAATTTATTTGTGATGTGTGCCATCAACAAACCGAGTTGAACCTTTCTTTCGATAGAGCAGTTTTGAAACACTCTTTTTGTAAAATCTGCAAGAGGATATTTGGATAGCTTTGAGGATTTCGTTGCAAACGGGAATGGCTTCATATAAACTCTAGACAGAAGCATTCTCAGAGACTTCGTTGGAATGTTTCGATTGAAGTCCCAGTGTTGAACATTCACTTTTACAGAGCAGGTTGGAAACACTCTTTTTGCATTCCCTGGAAGTGGACATTTGGAGCGCTTTCAGGACGACGGTGAAAAAGGAAATATCTTCCAATAAAATCTAGATAGAAGCAATGTGAGAAACTTTTATGTGATGGATCTACTCAGCTAACAGATTTGAACCTTTCTTTTGAGAGAGCAGTTTTGCAACACTCTTTTTGTGGAATATGCAAGTGGATATTAGGGCAGCTTTGAGGATTTCGTTGGAAACGGGAATATATGTAAAAAGCAGACAGCAGCATTCTCAGAAACTTCTTTGTGATGTTTGCATTGAAGTCACAGAGTTGAACATTCCCTTTGAGAGAGCAGGTTTGAAACACGCCTTTTGTCATATCTGGAAGTGTCCATTCGGAGCGCATTCAGGCTTGTGTTGAAAAAGGAAATATCCTCCCATAAAAACTAGACAGAAGCATTCACAGAAACTTATTTGTGATGTATGTACTCAACTAACAGAACTAAACCATCGTTTTGAAGGAGCAGTGTTGAAACACTCTTTTTGCGGAATCTGCAAGTGGATATTTGCCTAGCTTGGAGGATTTCGTTGGAAACGGGATTACATATAAAAAGCAGACAGCAAGCATTCTCAGTAAACTTATTTGTGATGTGTGCCCTCAACTGACAGTGTTGAACCTTTGTTTTGATAGAGCAGTTCTGAAACACACTTTTTGTAAAATCTGCAAGAGGATATTTGGATAGCTTTGAGGATTTCGTTGGAAACGGGAATGTCTTCATGTAAACTCTAGACAGAAGCATTCTCAGAAACTGCTTTGGGATGTTTCAATTGAAGTCCCAGTGTTGAACATTCCCATTCATAGAGCAGGTTTGAAACACTCTTTTTGTACTATCTGGAAGTGGACATTTTGAGCGCTTTCAGGTCTACGGTGAAAAAGGAGATATCTTCCAATAAAAACTAGATAGAAGCAATGTCAGAACTTTTTTCATGATGTATCTACTCAGCAAACAGAGTTGAACCTTTCTTTTGAGAGAGCAGTTTTGAAACACTCTTTTTGTGGAATATGCAAGTGGGTATTAGGCCAGCTTGGAGGATTTCGTTGGAAACGGGAATACGTATAAAAAGCAGACAGCAGCATTGTCAGAAACTACTTTGTGATGTTTGCATTCAAGTCACAGAATTGAACACTCCCTTTCACAGAGCAGGTTTGAAACACTCTTTTTGTAGTGTCTGTAAGTGAACATTTGGATTGCTTTCAGGCCTAAGGTGAAAAAGGAAATATCTTCCCATAAAAACTAGACAGAAGCATTCTCAGAAACTTGTTTGTGATGTGTGCCCTCTACTGACAGAGTTGAACCTTTCTTTGCAAAGAGCAGTTTTGAAACACTCTTTTTGTAGAATCTGCAAGAGGATATTTGGATAGCTTTGAGGATTTCTTGGGAAACGGGAATGTCTTCAGATAAACTCTAGACAGAAGCATTCTCAGAAACTTCTTTGGGATGTTTCAATTGAAGTCACAGTGTTGAACATTCCCTTTCACAGAGCAGGTTTGAAACACTCTTTTTGTAGTGTCTATAAGTGAACATTTGGCGTGCTTTCAGGCCTAACGTGAAAAAGGAAATATCTTCCCATAAAAACTAGACAGAAGCATTCTCAGAAACTTGTTCGTGATGTGTGCCCTCTACTGACAGAGTTGAAACTTTCTTTGCAAAGAGCAGCTTTGAAACACTCTTTTTGTAGAATCTGCAAGAGGATATGTGGATAGCTTTGAGGATTTCGTTGGAAACGGGTATGTCTTCAGATAAACTCTAGACAGAAGCATTCTCAGAAACTTCTTTGGGATGTTTCAATTGAAGTCACAGTGTTGAACATTCCCTTTCACAGAGCAGGTTTGAAACACTCTTTTTGTAGTGTCTATAAGTGAACATTTGGCGTGCTTTCAGGCCTAACGTGAAAAAGGAAATATCTTCCCATAAAAGCTAGACAGAAGCATTCTCAGAAACTTGTTCATGATGTGTGCCCTCTAGTGACAGAGTTGAACCTTTTTTTGCAAAGAGCAGCTTTGAAACACTCTTTTTGTAGAATCTGCAAGAGGATATTTGGATAGCTTGGAGGATTTCGTTGGAAACGGGTATGTCTTCAGATAAACTCTAGACAGAAGCAGTCTCAGAAACTTCTTTGTGATGTTTCCATTGAAGTCCCAGTGTTGAACATTCCATTTGAGAGAGCAGGTTTGAAACACGCCTTTTGTCATGTCTGGAAGCTGTCCATTTGGAGCACATTCCGGCTTGTGTTGAAAAAGGAAATATCCTCTCATAAAAACTAGACAGAAGCATTCTCTGAAACTTATTTGTGATGTGTGTACTCAACTAACAGAATTGAACCATCGTTTTGAAAGAGCAATTTTGAAACACTCTTTTTCTGGAATCTGCAAGTCGATATTTGTCTAGCATTGAGGATTTCGTTGGAAACGGGATTACAAATAAAAAGCAGACAGCAGCATTCCCAGAAACATCTTTGCGATGTTTGCATTCAAGTCACAGAGTTTAACATTCCCTTTCATAGAGCAGGTTTGAAACACTCTTTTTGTAGTATCTGGATGTGGACATTTGGAGCGCTTTCAGGCCTATGGTGAAAAAGGAAATATCTTCCCCTGAAAACTAGACAGAAGCATTCTCAGAAATTTATTTGTGATGTGTGCCCTCAACTAACAGAGTTGAACCTTTCTTTTGATAGAGCAGTTTTGAAACACTCTTTTTGTAAAATCTGCAAGAGGATATTTGGATAGCTTGAGGATTTCGTTGCAAACGGGAATGGCTTCATATAAACTCTAGACAGAAGCATTCTCAGAAACTTCGTTGGGATGTTTCGATTGAAGTCCCAGTGTTGAACATTCCCTTTTATAGAGCAGGTTGGAAACACTCTTTCTGCATTCCCTGGAAGTGGACATTTGGAGCGCTTTCAGGACGACGGTGAAAATGGAAATATCTTCCAAGA
Organism: Homo sapiens; assembly: GCF_000001405.40. Taxonomy (NCBI): domain Eukaryota; kingdom Metazoa; phylum Chordata; class Mammalia; order Primates; family Hominidae; genus Homo; species Homo sapiens. The sequence goes on from NC_000020.11 coordinate 28,419,452, forward strand.
AAATCTAGATAGAAGCAATGTCAGAAACTTTTATGTGATGGATCTACTCAGCTAACAGAGTTGAACCTTTCTTTTGAGAGAGCAGTTTTGCAACACTCTTTTTGTGGAATATGCAAGTGGATATTAGGGCAGCTTTGAGGATTTCGTTGGAAACGGGAATACATGTAAAAAGCAGACAGCCAGCATTCTCAGAAACTTCTTTGTGATGTTTGCATTGAAGTCACAGAGTTGAACATTCCCTTTGAGAGAGCAGGTTTGAAACACGCCTTTTGTCATATCTGGAAGTGTCCATTCGGAGCGCATTCAGGCTTGTGTTGAAAAAGGAAATATCCTCCCATAAAAACTAGACAGATCATTCTCAGAAACTTATCTGTGATGTATGTACTCAACTAACAGAACTAAACCATCGTTTTGAAGGAGCAGTTTTGAAACACTCTTTTTGCGGAATCTGCAAGTGGATATTTGGCTAGCTGGGAGGATTTCGTTGGAAACGGGATTACATACAAAAAGCAGACAGCAGCATTCTCAGAAACTTCTTTGTGATGTTTGCATTCAAGTCACAGAGTTGAACATTCCCTTTCATAGAGCAGGTTTGAAACACTCTTTTTGTAGTATCTGGATGTGGACATTTGGATCGCTTTCAGGCCTATGGTGAAAAAGGAAATATCTTCCCATGAAAACTAGACAGAAGCATTCTCAGAAATTTATTTGTGATGTGTGCCCTCAACTAACAGAGTTGAACCTTTCTTTTGATAGAGCAGTTTTGAAACACTCTTTTTGTAAAATCTGCAAGAGGATATTTGGATAGCTTTGAGGATTTCGTTGCAAACGGGAATGGCTTCATATAAACTCTAGACAGAAGCATTCTCAGAAACTTCGTTGGGATGTTTCGATTGAAGTCCCAGTGTTGAACATTCCCTTTTATAGAGCAGGTTGGAAACACTCTTTCTGCATTCCCTGGAAGTGGACATTTGGAGCGCTTTCAGGACGACGGTGAAAATGGAAATATCTTCCAAGAAAATCTAGATAGAAGCAACGTCAGAAACTTTTCTGTGATGGATCTACTCAGCTAACAGAGTTGAACCTTTCTTTTGAGAGAGCAGTTTTGCAACACTCTTTTTGTGGAATATGCAAGTGGATATTAGGGCAGCTTTGAGGATTTCGTTGGAAACGGGAATACATGTAAAAAGCAGACAGCAGCATTCTCAGAAACTTCTTTGTGATGTTTGCATTGAAGTCACAGAGTTGAACATTCCCTTTGAGAGAGCAGGTTTGAAACACGCCTTTTGTCATATCTGGAAGTGTCCATTCGGAGCGCATTCAGGCTTGTGTTGAAAAAGGAAATATCCTCCCATAAAAACTAGACAGAAGCATTCTCAGAAACTTATCTGTGATGTATGTACTCAACTAACAGAACTAAACCATCGTTTTGAAGGAGCAGTTTTGAAACACTCTTTTTGCGGAATCTGCAAGTGGATATTTGGCTAGCTGGGAGGATTTCGTTGGAAACGGGATTACATACAAAAAGCAGACAGCAGCATTCTCAGAAACTTATTTGTGATGTGTGCCCTCAACTGACAGTGTTGAACCTTTGTTTTGATAGAGCAGTTCTGAAACACACTTTTTGTAAAATCTGCAAGAGGATATTTGGATAGCTTTGAGGATTTCGTTGGAAACGGGAATGTCTTCATGTAAACTCTACACAGAAGCATTCTCAGAAACTGCTTTGGGATGTTTCAATTGAAGTCCCAGTGTTGAACATTCCCATTCATAGAGCAGGTTTGAAACACTCTTTTTGTACTATCTGGAAGTGGACATTTGGAGCGCTTTCAGGTCTACGGTGAAAAAGGAGATATCTTCCAATAAAAACTAGATAGAAAGCAATGTCAGCAACTTTTTTCATGATGTATCTACTCAGCAAACAGAGTTGAACCTTTCTTTTGAGAGAGCAGTTTTGAAACACTCTTTTTGTGGAATATGCAAGTGGGTATTAGGCCAGCTTGGAGGATTTCGTTGGAAACGGGAATACGTATAAAAAGCAGACAGCAGCATTGTCAGAAACTACTTTGTGATGTTTGCATTCAAGTCACAGAATTGAACACTCCCTTTCACAGAGCAGGTTTGAAACACTCTTTTTGTAGTGTCTGTAAGTGAACATATGGATTGCTTTCAGGCCTAAGGTGAAAAAGGAAATATCTTCCCATAAAAACTAGACAGAAGCATTCTCAGAAACTTGTTTGTGATGTGTGCCCTCTACTGACAGAGTTGAACCTTTCTTTGCAAAGAGCAGTTTTGAAACACTCTTTTTGTAGAATCTGCAAGAGGATATTTGGATAGCTTTGAGGATTTCTTGGGAAACGGGAATGTCTTCAGATAAACTCTAGACAGAAGCATTCTCAGAAACTTCTTTGGGATGTTTCAATTGAAGTCACAGTGTTGAACATTCCCTTTCACAGAGCAGGTTTGAAACACTCTTTTTGTAGTGTCTATAAGTGAACATTTGGCGTGCTTTCAGGCGTAACGTGAAAAAGGAAATATCTTCCCATAAAAACTAGACAGAAGCATTCTCAGAAACTTGTTCGTGATGTGTGCCCTCTACTGACAGAGTTGAACCTTTCTTTGCAAAGAGCAGCTTTGAAACACTCTTTTTGTAGAATCTGCAAGAGGATATTTGGATAGCTTTGAGGATTTCGTTGGAAACGGGTATGTCTTCAGATAAACTCTAGACAGAAGCATTCTCAGAAACTTCTTTGGGATGTTGCATTCAAGTCACAGAGTAGAACATTCCCATTCATAGAGCAGATTTGAAACACTCTTTTTGTAGTATCTGGAAGTGGACATTTGGAGCGCTTTCAGGCCTATGTTGAAAAAGGAAATATCTTCCCATAAAAACTAGACGGAAGCATTCTCAGAAACTTATTTGTGATGTGTTTGCTCAACTAACAGGATTGAACCATCGTTTTGAAGGAGCAGTTTTGAAACACTGTTTTCGTGGAATCTGCAAGTGGATATTTGGCTAGCTTTGAGGATTTCGTTGGAAATGGGATTACATATACAAAGGAGACAGCAGCATTCTCAGAAACTTCTTTGTGATGTCTGCATTCAATTCACAGAGTTGAGCATTCCCTTTCATAGAGCAGGTTGGAAACACTCTTTTTGTAGTATCTGGATGAGGACATTTGGAGCGCTTTCAGGCCTATGGTGAAAAAGGAAATATCTTCCCGTAAAAACTAGACAGAAGCATTCTCAGAAATTTATTTGTGATGTGTGCCCTCAACTAACAGAGTTGAACCTTTCTTTTGATAGAGCAGTTTTGAAACACTCTTTTTGTAAAATCTGCAAGAGGATATTTGGATAGCTTTGAGGATTTCGTTGCAAACGGGAATGGCTTCATATAAACTCTAGACAGAAGCATTCTCAGAAACTTCGTTGGGATGTTTCGATTGAAGTCCCAGTGTTGAACATTCCCTTTTATAGAGCAGGTTGGAAACACTCTTTCTGCATTCCCTGGAAGTGGACATTTGGAGCGCTTTCAGGACGACGGTGAAAATGGAAATATCTTCCAAGAAAATCTAGATAGAAGCAACGTCAGAAACTTTTCTGTGATGGATCTACTCAGCTAACAGAGTTGAACCTTTCTTTTGAGAGAGCAGTTTTGCAACACTCTTTTTGTGGAATATGCAAGTGGATATTAGGGCAGCTTTGAGGATTTCGTTGGAAACGGGAATACATGTAAAAAGCAGACAGCAGCATTCTCAGAAACTTCTTTGTGATGTTTGCATTGAAGTCACAGAGTTGAACATTCCCTTTGAGAGAGCAGGTTTGAAACACGCCTTTTGTCATATCTGGAAGTGTCCATTCGGAGCGCATTCAGGCTTGTGTTGAAAAAGGAAATATCCTCCCATAAAAACTAGACAGAAGCATTCTCAGAAACTTATCTGTGATGTATGTACTCAACTAACAGAACTAAACCATCGTTTTGAAGGAGCAGTTTTGAAACACTCTTTTTGCGGAATCTGCAAGTGGATATTTGGCTAGCTGGGAGGATTTCGTTGGAAACGGGATTACATACAAAAAGCAGACAGCAGCATTCTCAGAAACTTATTTGTGATGTGTGCCCTCAACTGACAGTGTTGAACCTTTGTTTTGATAGAGCAGTTCTGAAACACACTTTTTGTAAAATCTGCAAGAGGATATTTGGATAGCTTTGAGGATTTCGTTGGAAACGGGAATGTCTTCATGTAAACTCTAGACAGAAGCATTCTCAGAAACTGCTTTGGGATGTTTCAATTGAAGTCCCAGTGTTGAACATTCCCTTTCATAGAGCAGGTTTGAAACACTCTTTTTGTACTATCTGGAAGTGGACATTTGGAGCGCTTTCAGGTCTACGGTGAAAAAGGAGATATCTTCCAATAAAAACTAGATAGAAGCAATGTCAGAACTTTTTTCATGATGTATCTACTCAGCACACAGAGTTGAACCTTTCTTTTGAGAGAGCAGTTTTGAAACACTCTTTTTGTGGAATATGCAAGTGGGTATTAGGCCAGCTTGGAGGATTTCGTTGGAAACGGGAATACCGTATAAAAAGCAGACAGCAGCATTGTCAGAAACTACTTTGTGATGGTTTTGCATTCAAGTCACAGAATTGAACACTCCCTTTCACAGAGCAGGTTTGAAACACTCTTTTTGTAGTGTCTGTAAGTGAACATATGGATTGCTTTCAGGCCTAAGGTGAAAAAGGAAATATCTTCCCATAAAAACTAGACAGAAGCATTCTCAGAAACTTGTTTGTGATGTGTGCCCTCTACTGACAGAGTTGAACCTTTCTTTGCAAAGACCAGTTTTGAAACACTCTTTTTGTAGAATCTGCAAGAGGATATTTGGATAGCTTTGAGGATTTCTTGGGAAACGGGAATGTCTTCAGATAAACTCTAGACAGAAGCATTCTCAGAAACTTCTTTGGGATGTTTCAATTGAAGTCACAGTGTTGAACATTCCCTTTCACAGAGCAGGTTTGAAACACTCTTTTTGTAGTGTCTATAAGTGAACATTTGGCGTGCTTTCAGGCCTAACGTGAAAAAGGAAATATCTTCCCATAAAAACTAGACAGAAGCATTCTCAGAAACTTGTTCGTGATGTGTGCCCTCTACTGACAGAGTTGAACCTTTCTTTGCAAAGAGCAGCTTTGAAACACTCTTTTTGTAGAATCTGCAAGAGGATATTTGGATAGCTTGGAGGATTTCGTTGGAAACGGGTATGTCTTCAGATAAACTCTAGACAGAAGCATTCTCAGAAACTTCTTTGGGATGTTGCATTCAAGTCACAGAGTAGAACATTCCCATGCATAGAGCAGATTTGAAACACTCTTTTTGTAGTATCTGGAAGTGGACATTTGGAGCGCTTTCAGGCCTATGTTGAAAAAGGAAATATCTTCCCATAAAAACTAGACGGAAGCATTCTCAGAAACTTACTTGTGATGTGTTTGCTCAACTAACAGAATTGAACCATCGTTTTGAAGGAGCAGTTTTGAAACACTGTTTTCGTGGAATCTGCAAGTGGATATTTGGCTAGCTTTGAGGATTTCGTTGGAAACGGGATTACATATAAAAAGGAGACAGCAGCATTCTCAGAAACTTCTTTGTGATGTTTGCATTCAAGTCACAGAGTTGAACATTCCCTTTCATAGAGCAGGTTTGAAACACTCTTTTTGTAGTATCTGGATGTGGACATTTGGATCGCTTTCAGGCCTATGGTGAAAAAGGAAATATCTTCCCATGAAAACTAGACAGAAGCATTCTCAGAAATTTATTTGTGTTGTGTGCCCTCAACTAACAGAGTTGAACCTTTCTTTTGATAGAGCAGTTTTGAAACACTCTTTTTGTAAAATCTGCAAGAGGATATTTGGATAGCTTTGAGGATTTCGTTGCAAACGGGAATGGCTTCATATAAACTCTAGACAGAAAGCATTCTCAGAAACTTCGTCGGGATGTTTCGATTGAAGTCCCAGTGTTGAACATTCCCTTTTATAGAGCAGGTTGGAAACACTCTTTCTGCATTCCCTGGAAGTGGACAATTGGAGCGCTTTCAGGACGACGGTGAAAATGGAAATATCTTCCAATAAAATCTGGATAGAGCAACGTCAGAAACTTTTCTGTGATGGATCTACTCAGCTAACAGAGTTGAACCTTTCTTTTGAGAGAGCAGTTTTGCAACACTCTTTTTGTGGAATATGCAAGTGGATATTAGGGCAGCTTTGAGGATTTCGTTGGAAACGGGAATACATGTAAAAAGCAGACAGCAGCATTCTCAGAAACTTCTTTGTGATGTTTGCATTGAAGTCACAGAGTTGAACATTCCCTTTGAGAGAGCAGGTTTGAAACACGCCTTTTGTCATATCTGGAAGTGTCCATTCGGAGCGCATTCAGGCTTGTGTTGAAAAAGGAAATATCCTCCCATAAAAACTAGACAGAAGCATTCTCAGAAACTTATCTGTGATGTATGTACTCAACTAACAGAACTAAACCATCGTTTTGAAGGAGCAGTTTTGAAACACTCTTTTTGCGGAATCTGCAAGTGGATATTTGGCTAGCTGGGAGGATTTCGTTGGAAACGGGATTACATACAAAAAGCAGACAGCAGCATTCTCAGAAACTTATTTGTGATGTGTGCCCTCAACTGACAGTGTTGCACCTTTGTTTTGATAGAGCAGTTCTGAAACACACTTTTTGTAAAATCTGCAAGAGGATATTTGGATAGCTTTGAGGATTTCGTTGGAAACGGGAATGTCTTCATGTAAACTCTAGACAGAAGCATTCTCAGAAACTGCTTTGGGATGTTTCAACTGAAGTCCCAGTGTTGAACATTCCCTTTCATAGAGCAGGTTTGAAACACTCTTTTTGGAGTATCTGGAAGTGGACATTTGGAGCGCTTTCAGGTCTACGGTGAAAAAGGAGATATCCTCCAATAAAAACTAGATAGAAGCAATGTCAGAACTTTTTTCATGATGTATCTACTCAGGAAACAGAGCTGAACCTTTCTTTTGACAGAGCAGTTTTGAAACACTCTTTTTGTGGAATATGCAAGTGGGTATTAGGCCAGCTTGGAGGATTTCGTTGGAAACGGGAATACGTATAAAAAGCAGACAGCAGCATTGTCAGAAACTACTTTGTGATGTTTGCATTCAAGTCACAGAATTGAACACTCCCTTTCACAGAGCAGGTTTGAAACACTCTTTTTGTAGTGTCTGTAAGTGAACATTTGGATTGCTTTCAGGCCTAAGGTGAAAAAGGAAATATCTTCCCATAAAAACTAGACAGAAGCATTCTCAGAAACTTGTTTGTGATGTGTGCCCTCTACTGACAGAGTTGAACCTTTCTTTGCAAAGAGCAGTTTTGAAACACTCTTTTTGTAGAATCTGCAAGAGGATATTTGGATAGCTTTGAGGATTTCTTGGGAAACGGGAAATGTGTTCAGATAAACTCTAGACAGAAGCATTCTCAGAAACTTCTTTGGGATGTTTCAATTGAAGTCACAGTGTTGAACATTCCCTTTCACAGAGCAGGTTTGAAACACTCTTTTTGTAGTGTCTATAAGTGAACATTTGGCGTGCTTTCAGGCCTAACGTGAAAAAGGAAATATCTTCCCATAAAAACTAGACAGAAGCATTCTCAGAAACTTGTTCGTGATGTGTGCCCTCTACTGACAGAGTTGAACCTTTCTTTGCAAAGAGCAGCTTTGAAACACACTTTTTGTAGAATCTGCAAGAGGATATTTGGATAGCTTGGAGGATTTCGTTGGAAACGGGTATGTCTTCAGATAAACTCTAGACAGAAGCATTCTCAGAAATTTCTTTGGGATGTTGCATGCAAGTCACAGAGTAGAACATTCCCATTCATAGAGCAGATTTGAAACACTCTTTTTGTAGTATCTGGAAGTGGACATTTGGAGCGCTTTCAGGCCTATGTTGAAAAAGGAAATATCTTCCCATAAAAACTAGACGGAAGCATTCTCAGAAACTTATTTGTGATGAGTTTGCTCAACTAACAGGATTGAACCATCGTTTTGAAGGAGCAGTTTTGAAACACTGTTTTCGTGGAATCTGCAAGTGGATATTTGGCTAGCTTTGAGGATTTCGTTGGATACGGGATTACATATAAAAAGGAGACAGCAGCATTCTCAGAAACTTCTTTGTGATGTCTGCATTCAATTCACAGAGTTGAACATTCCCTTTCATAGAGCAGGTTTGAAACACTCTTTTTGTAGTATCTGGATGTGGACATTTGGATCGCTTTCAGGCCTATGGTGAAAAAGGAAATATCTTCCCATGAAAACTAGACAGAAGCATTCTCAGAAATTTATTTGTGATGTGTGCCCTCAACTAACACAGTTGAACCTTTCTTTTGATAGAGCAGTTTTGAAACACTCTTTTTGTAAAATCTGCAAGAGGATATTTGGATAGCTTTGAGGATTTCGTTGCAAACGGGAATGGCTTCATATAAACTCTAGACAGAAAGCATTCTCAGAAACTTCGTTGGGATGTTTCGATTGAAGTCCCAGTGTTGAACATTCCCTTTTATAGAGCAGGTTGGAAACACTCTTTCTGCATTCCCTGGAAGTGGACATTTGGAGCGCTTTCAGGACGACGGTGAAAATGGAAATATCTTCCAATAAAATCTAGATAGAAGCAACGTCAGAAACTTTTATGTGATGGATCTACTCAGCTAACAGAGTTGAACCTTTCTTTTGAGAGAGCAGTTTTGCAACACTCTTTTTGTGGAATATGCAAGTGGATATTAGGGCAGCTTTGAGGATTTCGTTGGAAACGGGAATACATGTAAAAAGCAGACAGCAGCATTCTCAGAAACTTCTTTGTGATGTTTGCATTGAAGTCACAGAGTTGAACATTCCCTTTGAGAGAGCAGGTTTGAAACACGCCTTTTGTCATATCTGGAAGTGTCCATTCGGAGCGCATTCAGGCTTGTGTTGAAAAAGGAAATATCCTCCCATAAAAACTAGACAGAAGCATTCTCAGAAACTTATCTGTGATGTATGTACTCAACTAACAGAACTAAACCATCGTTTTGAAGGAGCAGTTTTGAAACACTCTTTTTGCGGAATCTGCAAGTGGATATTTGGCTAGCTGGGAGGATTTCGTTGGAAACGGGATTACATACAAAAAGCAGACAGCAGCATTCTCAGAAACTTATTTGTGATGTGTGCCCTCAACTGACAGTGTTGAACCTTTGTTTTGATAGAGCAGTTCTGAAACACACTTTTTGTAAAATCTGCAAGAGGATATTTGGATAGCTTTGAGGATTTCGTTGGAAACGGGAATGTCTTCATGTAAACTCTAGACAGAAGCATTCTCAGAAACTGCTTTGGGATGTTTCAATTGAAGTCCCAGTGTTGAACATTCCCTTTCATAGAGCAGGTTTGAAACCCTCTTTTTGTACTATCTGGAAGTGGACATTTGGAGCGCTTTCAGGTCTACGGTGAAAAAGGAGATATCTTCCAATAAAAACTAGATAGAAGCAATGTCAGAACTTTTTTCATGATGTATCTACTCAGCAAACAGAGTTGAACCTTTCTTTTGAGAGAGCAGTTTTGAAACACTCTTTTTGTGGAATATGCAAGTGGGTATTAGGCCAGCTTGGAGGATTTCGTTGGAAACGGGAATACGTATAAAAAGCAGACAGCAGCATTGTCAGAAACTACTTTGTGATGTTTGCATTCAAGTCACAGAATTGAACACTCCCTTTCACAGAGCAGGTTTGAAACACTCTTTTTGTAGTGTCTGTAAGTGAACATTTGGATTGCTTTCAGGCCTAAGGTGAAAAAGGAAATATCTTCCCATAAAAACTAGACAGAAGCATTCTCAGAAACTTGTTTGTGATGTGTGCCCTCTACTGACAGAGTTGAACCTTTCTTTGCAAAGAGCAGTTTTGAAACACTCTTTTTGTAGAATCTGCAAGAGGATATTTGGATAGCTTTGAGGATTTCTTGGGAAACGGGAATGTCTTCAGATAAACTCTAGACAGAAGCATTCTCAGAAACTTCTTTGGGATGTTTCAATTGAAGTCACAGTGTTGAACATTCCCTTTCACAGAGCAGGTTTGAAACACTCTTTTTGTAGTGTCTATAAGTGAACATTTGGCGTGCTTTCAGGCCTAACGTGAAAAAGGAAATATCTTCCCATAAAAACTAGACAGAAGCATTCTCAGAAACTTGTTCATGATGTGTGCCCTCTACTGACAGAGTTGAACCTTTCTTTGCAAAGAGCAGCTTTGAAACACTCTTTTTGTAGAATCTGCAAGAGGATATTTGGATAGCTTTGAGGATTTCGTTGGAAACGGGTATGTCTTCAGATAAACTCTAGACAGAAGCATTCTCAGAAACTTCTTTGGGATGTTGCATTCAAGTCACAGAGTAGAACATTCCCATTCATAGAGCAGATTTGAAACACTCTTTTTGTAGTATCTGGAAGTGGACATTTGGAGCGCTTTCAGGCCTATGTTGAAAAAGGAAATATCTTCCCATAAAAACTAGACGGAAGCATTCTCAGAAACTTATTTGTGATGTGTTTGCTCAACTAACAGGATTGAACCATCGTTTTGAAGGAGCAGTTTTGAAACACTGTTTTCATGGAATCTGCAAGTGGATATTTGGCTAGCTTTGAGGATTTCGTTGGAAACGGGATTACATATAAAAAGGAGACAGCAGCATTCTCAGAAACTTCTTTGTGATGTCTGCATTCAATTCACAGAGTTGAGCATTCCCTTTCATAGAGCAGGTTGGAAACACTCTTTTTGTAGTATCTGGATGAGGACATTTGGAGCGCTTTCAGGCCTATGGTGAAAAAGGAAATATCTTCCCGTAAAAACTAGACAGAAGCATTCTCAGAAATTTATTTGTGATGTGTGCCCTCAACTAACAGAGTTGAACCTTTCTTTTGATAGAGCAGTTTTGAAACACTCTTTTTGTAAAATCTGCAAGAGGATATTTGGATAGCTTTGAGGATTTCGTTGCAAACGGGAATGGCTTCATATAAACTCTAGACAGAAGCATTCTCAGAAACTTCGTTGGGATGTTTCGATTGAAGTCCCAGTGTTGAACATTCCCTTTTATAGAGCAGGTTGGAAACACTCTTTCTGCATTCCCTGGAAGTGGACATTTGGAGCGCTTTCAGGACGACGGTGAAAATGGAAATATCTTCCAAGAAAATCTAGATAGAAGCAATGTCAGAAACTTTTATGTGATGGATCTACTCAGCTAACAGAGTTGAAGCTTTCTTTTGAGAGAGCAGTTTTGCAACACTCTTTTTGTGGAATATGCAAGTGGATATTAGGGCAGCTTTGAGGATTTCGTTGGAAACGGGAATACATGTAAAAAGCAGACAGCAGCATTCTCAGAAACTTCTTTGTGATGTTTGCATTGAAGTCACAGAGTTGAACATTCCCTTTGAGAGAGCAGGTTTGAAACACGCCTTTTGTCATATCTGGAAGTGTCCATTCGGAGCGCATTCAGGCTTGTGTTGAAAAAGGAAATATCCTCCCATAAAAACTAGACAGAAGCATTCTCAGAAACTTATCTGTGATGTATGTACTCAACTAACAGAACTAAACCATCGTTTTGAAGGAGCAGTTTTGAAACACTCTTTTTGCGGAATCTGCAAGTGGATATTTGGCTAGCTGGGAGGATTTCGTTGGAAACGGGATTACATACAAAAAGCAGACAGCAGCATTCTCAGAAACTTATTTGTGATGTGTGCCCTCAACTGACAGTGTTGAACCTTTGTTTTGATAGAGCAGTTCTGAAACACACTTTTTGTAAAATCTGCAAGAGGATATTTGGATAGCTTTGAGGATTTCGTTGGAAACGGGAATGTCTTCATGTAAACTCTACACAGAAAGCATTCTCAGAAACTGCTTTGGGATGTTTCAATTGAAGTCCCAGTGTTGAACATTCCCATTCATAGAGCAGGTTTGAAACACTCTTTTTGTACTATCTGGAAGTGGACATTTGGAGCGCTTTCAGGTCTACGGTGAAAAAGGAGATATCTTCCAATAAAAACTAGATAGAAGCAATGTCAGAACTTTTTTCATGATGTATCTACTCAGCACACAGAGTTGAACCTTTCTTTTGAGAGAGCAGTTTTGAAACACTCTTTTTGTGGAATATGCAAGTGGGTATTAGGCCAGCTTGGAGGATTTCGTTGGAAACGGGAATACGTATAAAAAGCAGACAGCAGCATTGTCAGAAACTACTTTGTGATGTTTGCATTCAAGTCACAGAATTGAACACTCCCTTTCACAGAGCAGGTTTGAAACACTCTTTTTGTAGTGTCTGTAAGTGAACATTTGGATTGCTTTCAGGCTTAAGGTGAAAAAGGAAATATCTTCCCATAAAAACTAGACAGAAGCACTCTCAGAAACTTGTTTGTGATGTGTGCCCTCTACTGACAGAGTTGAACCTTTCTTTGCAAAGAGCAGTTTTGAAACACTCCTTTTGTAGAATCTGCAAGAGGATATTTGGATAGCTTTGAGGATTTCTTGGGAAACGGGAATGTCTTCAGATAAACTCTAGACAGAAGCATTCTCAGAAACTTCTTTGGGATGTTTCAATTGAAGTCACAGTGTTGAACATTCCCTTTCACAGAGCAGGTTTGAAACACTCTTTTTGTAGTGTCTATAAGTGAACATTTGGCGTGCTTTCAGGCCTAACGTGAAAAAGGAAATATCTTCCCATAAAAACTAGACAGAAGCATTCTCAGAAACTTGTTCGTGATGTGTGCCCTCTACTGACAGAGTTGAACCTTTCTTTGCAAAGAGCAGCTTTGAAACACTCTTTTTGTAGAATCTGCAAGAGGATATGTGGATAGCTTTGAGGATTTCGTTGGAAACGGGTATGTCTTCAGATAAACTCTAGACAGAAGCATTCTCAGAAATTTCTTTGGGATGTTGCATGCAAGTCACAGAGTAGAACATTCCCATTCATAGAGCAGATTTGAAACACTCTTTTTGTAGTATCTGGAAGTGGACATTTGGAGCGCTTTCAGGCCTATGTTGAAAAAGGAAATATCTTCCCATAAAAACTAGACGGAAGCATTCTCAGAAACTTAATTGTGATGTGTTTGCTCAACTAACAGGATTGAACCATCGTTTTGAAGGAGCAGTTTTGAAACACTGTTTTCGTGGAATCTGCAAGTGGATATTTGGCTAGCTTTGAGGATTTCGTTGGAAACGGGATTACATATAAAAAGGAGACAGCAGCATTCTCAGAAACTTCTTTGTGATGTTTGCATTCAAGTCACAGAGTTGAACATTCCCTTTCATAGAGCAGGTTTGAAACACTCTTTTTGTAGTATCTGGATGTGGACATTTGGATCGCTTTCAGGCCTATGGTGAAAAAGGAAATATCTTCCCATGAAAACTAGACAGAAGCATTCTCAGAAGTTTATTTGTGATGTGTGCCCTCAACTAACAGAGTTGAACCTTTCTTTTGATAGAGCAGTTTTGAAACACTCTTTTTGTAAAATCTGCAAGAGGATATTTGGATAGCTTTGAGGATTTCGTTGCAAACGGGAATGGCTTCATATAAACTCTAGACAGAAGCATTCTCAGAAACTTCGTTGGGATGTTTCGATTGAAGTCCCAGTGTTGAACATTCCCTTTTATAGAGCAGGTTGGAAACACTCTTTCTGCATTCCCTGGAAGTGGACATTTGGAGCGCTTTCAGGACGACGGTGAAAATGGAAATATCTTCCAAGAAAATCTAGATAGAAGCAATGTCAGAAACTTTTATGTGATGGATCTACTCAGCTAACAGAGTTGAACCTTTCTTTTGAGAGAGCAGTTTTGCAACACTCTTTTTGTGGAATATGCAAGTGGATATTAGGGCAGCTTTGAGGATTTCGTTGGAAACGGGAATACATGTAAAAAGCAGACAGCAGCATTCTCAGAAACTTCTTTGTGATGTTTGCATTGAAGTCACAGAGTTGAACATTCCCTTTGAGAGAGCAGGTTTGAAACACGCCTTTTGTCATATCTGGAAGTGTCCATTCGGAGCGCATTCAGGCTTGTGTTGAAAAAGGAAATATCCTCCCAGAAAAACTAGACAGAAGCATTCTCAGAAACTTATCTGTGATGTATGTACTCAACTAACAGAACTAAACCATCGTTTTGAAGGAGCAGTTTTGAAACACTCTTTTTGCGGAATCTGCAAGTGGATATTTGGCTAGCTGGGAGGATTTCGTTGGAAACGGGATTACATACAAAAAGCAGACAGCAGCATTCTCAGAAACTTATTTGTGATGTGTGCCCTCAACTGACAGTGTTGAACCTTTGTTTTGATAGAGCAGTTCTGAAACACACTTTTTGTAAAATCTGCAAGAGGATATTTGGATAGCTTTGAGGATTTCGTTGGAAACGGGAATGTCTTCATGTAAACTCTAGACAGAAGCATTCTCAGAAACTGCTTTGGGATGTTTCAATTGAAGTCCCAGTGTTGAACATTCCCATTCATAGAGCAGGTTTGAAACACACTTTTTGTACTATCTGGAAGTGGACATTTGGAGCGCTTTCAGGTCTACGGTGAAAAAGGAGATATCTTCCAATAAAAACTAGATAGAAGCAATGTCAGAACTTTTTTCATGATGTATCTACTCAGCAAACAGAGTTGAACCTTTCTTTTGAGAGAGCAGTTTTGAAACACTCTTTTTGTGGAATATGCAAGTGGGTATTAGGCCAGCTTGGAGGATTTCGTTGGAAACGGGAATACGTATAAAAAGCAGACAGCAGCATTGTCAGAAACTACTTTGTGATGTTTGCATTCAAGTCACAGAATTGAACACTCCCTTTCACAGAGCAGGTTTGAAACACTCTTTTTGTAGTGTCTGTAAGTGAACATTTGGATTGCTTTCAGGCCTAAGGTGAAAAAGGAAATATCTTCCCATAAAAACTAGACAGAAGCATTCTCAGAAACTTGTTTGTGATGTGTGCCCTCTACTGACAGAGTTGAACCTTTCTTTGCAAAGAGCAGTTTTGAAACACTCTTTTTGTAGAATCTGCAAGAGGATATTTGGATAGCTTTGAGGATTTCTTGGGAAACGGGAATGTCTTCAGATAAACTCTAGACAGAAGCATTCTCAGAAACTTCTTTGGGATGTTTCAATTGAAGTCACAGTGTTGAACATTCCCTTTCACAGAGCAGGTTTGAAACACTCTTTTTGTAGTGTCTATAAGTGAACATTTGGCGTGCTTTCAGGCCTAACGTGAAAAAGGAAATATCTTCCCATAAAAACTAGACAGAAGCATTCTCAGAAACTTGTTCGTGATGTGTGCCCTCTACTGACAGAGTTGAACCTTTCTTTGCAAAGAGCAGCTTTGAAACACACTTTTTGTAGAATCTGCAAGAGGATATTTGGATAGCTTGGAGGATTTCGTTGGAAACGGGTATGTCTTCAGATAAACTCTAGACAGAAGCATTCTCAGAAACTTCTTTGGGATGTTGCATTCAAGTCACAGAGTAGAACATTCCCATTCATAGAGCAGATTTGAAACACTCTTTTTGTAGTATCTGGAAGTGGACATTTGGAGCGCTTTCAGGCCTATGTTGAAAAAGGAAATGTCTTCCCATAAAAACTAGACGGAAGCATTCTCAGAAACTTACTTGTGATGTGTTTGCTCAACTAACAGAATTGAACCATCGTTTTGAAGGAGCAGTTTTGAAACACTGTTTTCGTGGAATCTGCAAGTGGATATTTGGCTAGCTTTGAGGATTTCGTTGGAAACGGGATTACATATAAAAAGGAGACAGCAGCATTCTCAGAAACTTCTTTGTGATGTCTGCATTCAATTCACAGAGTTGAGCATTCCCTTTCATAGAGCAGGTTGGAAACACTCTTTTTGTAGTATCTGGATGAGGACATTTGGAGCGCTTTCAGGCGTATGGTGAAAAAGGAAATATCTTCCCGTAAAAACTAGACAGAAGCATTCTCAGAAATTTATTTGTGATGTGTGCCCTCAACTAACAGAGTTGAACCTTTCTTTTGATAGAGCAGTTTTGAAACACTCTTTTTGTAAAATCTGCAAGAGGATATTTGGATAGCTTTGAGGATTTCGTTGCAAACGGGAATGGCTTCATATAAACTCTAGACAGAAGCATTCTCAGAAACTTCGTTGGGATGTTTCGATTGAAGTCCCAGTGTTGAACATTCCCTTTTATAGAGCAGGTTGGAAACACTCTTTCTGCATTCCCTGGAAGTGGACATTTGGAGCGCTTTCAGGACGACGGTGAAAATGGAAATATCTTCCAATAAAATCTAGATAGAAGCAACGTCAGAAACTTTTCTGTGATGGATCTACTCAGCTAACAGAGTTGAACCTTTCTTTTGAGAGAGCAGTTTTGCAACACTCTTTTTGTGGAATATGCAAGTGGATATTAGGGCAGCTTTGAGGATTTCGTTGGAAACGGGAATACATGTAAAAAGCAGACAGCAGCATTCTCAGAAACTTCTTTGTGATGTTTGCATTGAAGTCACAGAGTTGAACATTCCCTTTGAGAGAGCAGGTTTGAAACACGCCTTTTGTCATATCTGGAAGTGTCCATTCGGAGCGCATTCAGGCTTGTGTTGAAAAAGGAAATATCCTCCCATAAAAACTAGACAGAAGCATTCTCAGAAACTTATCTGTGATGTATGTACTCAACTAACAGAACTAAACCATCGTTTTGAAGGAGCAGTTTTGAAACACTCTTTTTGCGGAATCTGCAAGTGGATATTTGGCTAGCTGGGAGGATTTCGTTGGAAACGGGATTACATACAAAAAGCAGAGAGCAGCATTCTCAGAAACTTATTTGTGATGTGTGCCCTCAACTGACAGTGTTGAACCTTTGTTTTGATAGAGCAGTTCTGAAACACACTTTTTGTAAAATCTGCAAGAGGATATTTGGATAGCTTTGAGGATTTCGTTGGAAACGGGAATGTCTTCATGTAAACTCTAGACAGAAGCATTCTCAGAAACTGCTTTGGGATGTTTCAATTGAAGTCCCAGTGTTGAACATTCCCTTTCATAGAGCAGGTTTGAAACACTCTTTTTGTACTATCTGGAAGTGGACATTTGGAGCGCTTTCAGGTCTACGGTGAAAAAGGAGATATCTTCCAATAAAAACTAGATAGAAGCAATGTCAGAACTTTTTTCATGATGTATCTACTCAGCAAACAGAGTTGAACCTTTCTTTTGAGAGAGCAGTTTTGAAACACTCTTTTTGTGGAATATGAAAGTGGGTATTAGGCCAGCTTGGAGGATTTCGTTGGAAACGGGAATACGTATAAAAAGCAGACAGCAGCATTGTCAGAAACTACTTTGTGATGTTTGCATTCAAGTCACAGAATTGAACACTCCCTTTCACAGAGCAGGTTTGAAACACTCTTTTTGTAGTGTCTGTAAGTGAACATTTGGATTGCTTTCAGGTCTAAGGTGAAAAAGGAAATATCTTCCCATAAAAACTAGACAGAAGCATTCTCAGAAACTTGTTTGTGATGTGTGCCCTCTACTGACAGAGTTGAACCTTTCTTTGCAAAGAGCAGTTTTGAAACACTCTTTTTGTAGAATCTGCAAGAGGATATTTGGATAGCTTTGAGGATTTCTTGGGAAACGGGAATGTCTTCAGATAAACTCTAGACAGAAGCATTCTCAGAAACTTCTTGGGATATTTCAATTGAAGTCACAGTGTTGAACATTCCCTTTCACAGAGCAGGTTTGAAACACTCTTTTTGTAGTGTCTATAAGTGAACATTTGGCGTGCTTTCAGGCCTAACGTGAAAAAGGAAATATCTTCCCATAAAAACTAGACAGAAGCATTCTCAGAAACTTGTTCGTGATGTGTGCCCTCTACTGACAGAGTTGAACCTTTCTTTGCAAAGAGCAGCTTTGAAACACACTTTTTGTAGAATCTGCAAGAGGATATTTGGATAGCTTGGAGGATTTCGTTGGAAACGGGTATGTCTTCAGATAAACTCTAGACAGAAGCATTCTCAGAAACTTCTTTGGGATGTTGCATTCAAGTCACAGAGTAGAACATTCCCATTCATAGAGCAGATTTGAAACACTCTTTTTGTAGTATCTGGAAGTGGACATTTGGAGCGCTTTCAGGCCTATGTTGAAAAAGGAAATATCTTCCCATAAAAACTAGACGGAAGCATTCTCAGAAACTTAATTGTGATGTGTTTGCTCAACTAACAGGATTGAACCATCGTTTTGAAGGAGCAGTTTTGAAACACTGTTTTCGTGGAATCTGCAAGTGGATATTTGGCTAGCTTTGAGGATTTCGTTGGAAACGGGATTACATATAAAAAGGAGACAGCAGCATTCTCAGAAACTTCTTTGTGATGTCTGCATTCAAGTCACAGAGTTGAGCATTCCCTTTCATAGAGCAGGTTGGAAACACTCTTTTTGTAGTATCTGGATGAGGACATTTGGAGCGCTTTCAGGCGTATGGTGAAAAAGGAAATATCTTCCCGTAAAAACTAGACAGAAGCATTCTCAGAAGTTTATTTGTGATGTGTGCCCTCAACTAACAGAGTTGAACCTTTCTTTTGATAGAGCAGTTTTGAAACACTCTTTTTGTAAAATCTGCAAGAGGATATTTGGATAGCTTTGAGGATTTCGTTGCAAACGGGAATGGCTTCATATAAACTCTAGACAGAAGCATTCTCAGAAACTTCGTTGGGATGTTTCGATTGAAGTCCCAGTGTTGAACATTCCCTTTTATAGAGCAGGTTGGAAACACTCTTTCTGCATTCCCTGGAAGTGGACATTTGGAGCGCTTTCAGGACGACGGTGAAAATGGAAATATCTTCCAAGAAAATCTAGATAGAAGCAATGTCAGAAACTTTTATGTGATGGATCTACTCAGCTAACAGAGTTGAACCTTTCTTTTGAGAGAGCAGTTTTGCAACACTCTTTTTGTGGAATATGCAAGTGGATATTAGGGCAGCTTTGAGGATTTCGTTGGAAACGGGAATACATGTAAAAAGCAGACAGCAGCATTCTCAGAAACTTCTTTGTGATGTTTGCATTGAAGTCACAGAGTTGAACATTCCCTTTGAGAGAGCAGGTTTGAAACACGCCTTTTGTCATATCTGGAAGTGTCCATTCGGAGCGCATTCAGGCTTGTGTTGAAAAAGGAAATATCCTCCCATAAAAACTAGACAGAAGCATTCTCAGAAACTTATCTGTGATGTATGTACTCAACTAACAGAACTAAACCATCGTTTTGAAGGAGCAGTTTTGAAACACTCTTTTTGCG
The DNA here is from genome assembly GCF_000001405.40 of Homo sapiens. Taxonomy (NCBI): domain Eukaryota; kingdom Metazoa; phylum Chordata; class Mammalia; order Primates; family Hominidae; genus Homo; species Homo sapiens. The sequence goes on from NC_000020.11 coordinate 28,438,757, forward strand.
GAATCTGCCAGTGGATATTTGGCTAGCTGGGAGGATTTCGTTGGAAACGGGATTACATACAAAAAGCAGACAGCAGCATTCTCAGAAACTTATTTGTGATGTGTGCCCTCAACTGACAGTGTTGAACCTTTGTTTTGATAGAGCAGTTCTGAAACACACTTTTTGTAAAATCTGCAAGAGGATATTTGGATAGCTTTGAGGATTTCGTTGGAAACGGGAATGTCTTCATGTAAACTCTAGACAGAAGCATTCTCAGAAACTGCTTTGGGATGTTTCAATTGAAGTCCCAGTGTTGAACATTCCCATTCATAGAGCAGGTTTGAAACACTCTTTTTGTACTATCTGGAAGTGGACATTTGGAGCGCTTTCAGGTCTACGGTGAAAAAGGAGATATCTTCCAATAAAAACTAGATAGAAGCAATGTCAGAACTTTTTTCATGATGTATCTACTCAGCAAACAGAGTTGAACCTTTCTTTTGAGAGAGCAGTTTTGAAACACTCTTTTTGTGGAATATGCAAGTGGGTATTAGGCCAGCTTGGAGGATTTCGTTGGAAACGGGAATACGTATAAAAAGCAGACAGCAGCATTGTCAGAAACTACTTTGTGATGTTTGCATTCAAGTCACAGAATTGAACACTCCCTTTCACAGAGCAGGTTTGAAACACTCTTTTTGTAGTGTCTGTAAGTGAACATATGGATTGCTTTCAGGCCTAAGGTGAAAAAGGAAATATCTTCCCATAAAAACTAGACAGAAGCATTCTCAGAAACTTGTTTGTGATGTGTGCCCTCTACTGACAGAGTTGAACCTTTCTTTGCAAAGAGCAGTTTTGAAACACTCTTTTTGTAGAATCTGCAAGAGGATATTTGGATAGCTTTGAGGATTTCTTGGGAAACGGGAATGTCTTCAGATAAACTCTAGACAGAAGCATTCTCAGAAACTTCTTTGGGATGTTTCAATTGAAGTCACAGTGTTGAACATTCCCTTTCACAGAGCAGGTTTGAAACACTCTTTTTGTAGTGTCTATAAGTGAACATTTGGCGTGCTTTCAGGCCTAACGTGAAAAAGGAAATATCTTCCCATAAAAACTAGACAGAAGCATTCTCAGAAACTTGTTTGTGATGTGTGCCCTCTACTGACAGAGTTGAACCTTTCTTTGCAAAGAGCAGCTTTGAAACACTCTTTTTGTAGAATCTGCAAGAGGATATTTGGATAGCTTTGAGGATTTCGTTGGAAACGGGTATGTCTTCACATAAACTCTAGACAGAAGCATTCTCAGAAACTTCTTTGGGATGTTGCATTCAAGTCACAGAGTAGAACATTCCCATTCATAGAGCAGATTTGAAACACTCTTTTTGTAGTATCTGGAAGTGGACATTTGGAGCGCTTTCAGGCCTATGTTGAAAAAGGAAATATCTTCCCATAAAAACTAGACGGAAGCATTCTCAGAAACTTATTTGTGATGTGTTTGCTCAACTAACAGGATTGAACCATCGTTTTGAAGGAGCAGTTTTGAAACACTGTTTTCGTGGAATCTGCAAGTGGATATTTGGCTAGCTTTGAGGATTTCGTTGGAAACGGGATTACATATAAAAAGGAGACAGCAGCATTCTCAGAAACTTCTTTGTGATGTCTGCATTCAAGTCACAGAGTTGAGCATTCCCTTTCATAGAGCAGGTTGGAAACACTCTTTTTGTAGTATCTGGATGAGGACATTTGGAGCGCTTTCAGGCGTATGGTGAAAAAGGAAATATCTTCCCGTAAAAACTAGACAGAAGCATTCTCAGAAATTTATTTGTGTTGTGTGCCCTCAACTAACAGAGTTGAACCTTTCTTTTGATAGAGCAGTTTTGAAACACTCTTTTTGTAAAATCTGCAAGAGGATATTTGGATAGCTTTGAGGATTTCGTTGCAAACGGGAATGGCTTCATATAAACTCTAGACAGAAGCATTCTCAGAAACTTCGTTGGGATGTTTCGATTGAAGTCCCAGTGTTGAACATTCCCTTTTATAGAGCAGGTTGGAAACACTCTTTCTGCATTCCCTGGAAGTGGACATTTGGAGCGCTTTCAGGACGACGGTGAAAATGGAAATATCTTCCAAGAAAATCTAGATAGAAGCAATGTCAGAAACTTTTATGTGATGGATCTACTCAGCTAACAGAGTTGAACCTTTCTTTTGAGAGAGCAGTTTTGCAACACTCTTTTTGTGGAATATGCAAGTGGATATTAGGGCAGCTTTGAGGATTTCGTTGGAAACGGGAATACATGTAAAAAGCAGACAGCAGCATTCTCAGAAACTTCTTTGTGATGTTTGCATTGAAGTCACAGAGTTGAACATTCCCTTTGAGAGAGCAGGTTTGAAACACGCCTTTTGTCATATCTGGAAGTGTCCATTCGGAGCGCATTCAGGCTTGTGTTGAAAAAGGAAATATCCTCCCATAAAAACTAGACAGAAGCATTCTCAGAAACTTATCTGTGATGTATGTACTCAACTAACAGAACTAAACCATCGTTTTGAAGGAGCAGTTTTGAAACACTCTTTTTGCGGAATCTGCAAGTGGATATTTGGCTAGCTGGGAGGATTTCGTTGGAAACGGGATTACATACAAAAAGCAGACAGCAGCATTCTCAGAAACTTATTTGTGATGTGTGCCCTCAACTGACAGTGTTGAACCTTTGTTTTGATAGAGCAGTTCTGAAACACACTTTTTGTAAAATCTGCAAGAGGATATTTGGATAGCTTTGAGGATTTCGTTGGAAACGGGAATGTCTTCATGTAAACTCTAGACAGAAGCATTCTCAGAAACTTCGTTGGGATGTTTCGATTGAAGTCCCAGTGTTGAACATTCCCATTCATAGAGCAGGTTTGAAACTCTCTTTTTGTACTATCTGGAAGTGGACATTTGGAGCGCTTTCAGGTCTACGGTGAAAAAGGAGATATCTTCCAATAAAAACTAGATAGAAGCAATGTCAGAACTTTTTTCATGATGTATCTACTCAGCAAACAGAGTTGAACCTTTCTTTTGAGAGAGCAGTTTTGAAACACTCTTTTTGTGGAATATGCAAGTGGGTATTAGGCCAGCTTGGAGGATTTCGTTGGAAACGGGAATACGTATAAAAAGCAGACAGCAGCATTGTCAGAAACTACTTTGTGATATTTGCATTCAAGTCACAGAATTGAACACTCCCTTTCACAGAGCAGGTTTGAAACACTCTTTTTGTAGTGTCTGTAAGTGAACATTTGGATTGCTTTCAGGCCTAAGGTGAAAAAGGAAATATCTTCCCATAAAAACTAGACAGAAGCATTCTCAGAAACTTGTTTGTGATGTGTGCCCTCTACTGACAGAGTTGAACCTTTCTTTGCAAAGAGCAGTTTTGAAACACTCTTTTTGTAGAATCTGCAAGAGGATATTTGGATAGCTTTGAGGATTTCTTGGGAAACGGGAATGTCTTCAGATAAACTCTAGACAGAAGCATTCTCAGAAACTTCTTTGGGATGTTTCAATTGAAGTCAGTGTTGAACATTCCCTTTCACAGAGCAGGTTTGAAACACTCTTTTTGTAGTGTCTATAAGTGAACATTTGGCGTGCTTTCAGGCCTAACGTGAAAAAGGAAATATCTTCCCATAAAAACTAGACAGAAGCATTCTCAGAAACTTGTTCGTGATGTGTGCCCTCTACTGACAGAGTTGAACCTTTCTTTGCAAAGAGCAGCTTTGAAACACTCTTTTTGTAGAATCTGCAAGAGGATATTTGGATAGCTTTGAGGATTTCGTTGGAAACGGGTATGTCTTCAGATAAACTCTAGACAGAAGCATTCTCAGAAACTTCTTTGGGATGTTGCATTCAAGTCACAGAGTAGAACATTCCCATTCATAGAGCAGATTTGAAACACTCTTTTTGTAGTATCTGGAAGTGGACATTTGGAGCGCTTTCAGGCCTATGTTGAAAAAGGAAATATCTTCCCATAAAAACTAGACGGAAGCATTCTCAGAAGCTTATTTGTGATGTGTTTGCTCAACTAACAGGATTGAACCATCGTTTTGAAGGAGCAGTTTTGAAACACTGTTTTCGTGGAATCTGCAAGTGGATATTTGGCTAGCTTTGAGGATTTCGTTGGAAACGGGATTACATATAAAAAGGAGACAGCAGCATTCTCAGAAACTTCTTTGTGATGTTTGCATTCAAGTCACAGAGTTGAACATTCCCTTTCATAGAGCAGGTTTGAAACACTCTTTTTGTAGTATCTGGATGTGGACATTTGGATCGCTTTCAGGCCTATGGTGAAAAAGGAAATATCTTCCCATGAAAACTAGACAGAAGCATTCTCAGAAGTTTATTTGTGATGTGTGCCCTCAACTAACAGAGTTGAACCTTTCTTTTGATAGAGCAGTTTTGAAACACTCTTTTTGTAAAATCTGCAAGAGGATATTTGGATAGCTTTGAGGATTTCGTTGCAAACGGGAATGGCTTCATATAAACTCTAGACAGAAGCATTCTCAGAAACTTCGTTGGGATGTTTCGATTGAAGTCCCAGTGTTGAACATTCCCTTTTATAGAGCAGGTTGGAAACACTCTTTCTGCATTCCCTGGAAGTGGACATTTGGAGCGCTTTCAGGACGACGGTGAAAATGGAAATATCTTCCAAGAAAATCTAGATAGAAGCAATGTCAGAAACTTTTATGTGATGGATCTACTCAGCTAACAGAGTTGAACCTTTCTTTTGAGAGAGCAGTTTTGCAACACTCTTTTTGTGGAATATGCAAGTGGATATTAGGGCAGCTTTGAGGATTTCGTTGGAAACGGGAATACATGTAAAAAGCAGACAGCAGCATTCTCAGAAACTTCTTTGTGATGTTTGCATTGAAGTCACAGAGTTGAACATTCCCTTTGAGAGAGCAGGTTTGAAACACGCCTTTTGTCATATCTGGAAGTGTCCATTCGGAGCGCATTCAGGCTTGTGTTGAAAAAGGAAATATCCTCCCATAAAAACTAGACAGAAGCATTCTCAGAAACTTATCTGTGATGTATGTACTCAACTAACAGAACTAAACCATCGTTTTGAAGGAGCAGTTTTGAAACACTCTTTTTGCGGAATCTGCAAGTGGATATTTGGCTAGCTGGGAGGATTTCGTTGGAAACGGGATTACATACAAAAAGCAGACAGCAGCATTCTCAGAAACTTATTTGTGATGTGTGCCCTCAACTGACAGTGTTGAACCTTTGTTTTGATAGAGCAGTTCTGAAACACACTTTTTGTAAAATCTGCAAGAGGATATTTGGATAGCTTTGAGGATTTCGTTGGAAACGGGAATGTCTTCATGTAAACTCTAGACAGAAGCATTCTCAGAAACTGCTTTGGGATGTTTCAATTGAAGTCCCAGTGTTGAACATTCCCATTCATAGAGCAGGTTTGAAACACTCTTTTTGTACTATCTGGAAGTGGACATTTGGAGCGCTTTCAGGTCTACGGTGAAAAAGGAGATATCTTCCAATAAAAACTAGATAGAAGCAATGTCAGAACTTTTTTCATGATGTATCTACTCAGCTAAAAGAGTTGAACCTTTCTTTTGAGAGAGCAGTTTTGAAACACTCTTTGTGTGGAATATGCAAGTGGGTATTAGGCCAGCTTGGAGGATTTCGTTGGAAACGGGAATACGTATAAAAAGCAGACAGCAGCATTGTCAGAAACTACTTTGTGATGTTTGCATTCAAGTCACAGAATTGAACACTCCCTTTCACAGAGCAGGTTTGAAACACTCTTTTTGTAGTGTCTGTAAGTGAACATATGGATTGCTTTCAGGCCTAAGGTGAAAAAGGAAATATCTTCCCATAAAAACTAGACAGAAGCATTCTCAGAAACTTGTTTGTGATGTGTGCCCTCTACTGACAGAGTTGAACCTTTCTTTGCAAAGAGCAGTTTTGAAACACTCTTTTTGTAGAATCTGCAAGAGGATATTTGGATAGCTTTGAGGATTTCTTGGGAAACGGGAATGTCTTCAGATAAACTCTAGACAGAAGCACTCTCAGAAACTTCTTTGGGATGTTTCAATTGAAGTCACAGTGTTGAACATTCCCTTTCACAGAGCAGGTTTGAAACACTCTTTTTGTAGTGTCTATAAGTGAACATTTGGCGTGCTTTCAGGCCTAACGTGAAAAAGGAAATATCTTCCCATAAAAACTAGACAGAAGCATTCTCAGAAACTTGTTCTTGATGTGTCCCCTCTACTGACAGAGTTGAACCTTTCTTTGCAAAGAGCAGCTTTGAAACACTCTTTTTGTAGAATCTGCAAGAGGATATTTGGATAGCTTGGAGGATTTCGTTGGAAACGGGTATGTCTTCAGATAAACTCTAGACAGAAGCATTCTCAGAAACTTCTTTGGGATGTTGCATTCAAGTCACAGAGTAGAACATTCCCATTCATAGAGCAGATTTGAAACACTCTTTTTGTAGTATCTGGAAGTGGACATTTGGAGCGCTTTCAGGCCTATGTTGAAAAAGGAAATATCTTCCCATAAAAACTAGACGGAAGCATTCTCAGAAACTTATTTGTGATGTGTTTGCTCAACTAACAGGATTGAACCATCGTTTTGAAGGAGCAGTTTTGAAACACTGTTTTCGTGGAATCTGCAAGTGGATATTTGGCTAGCTTTGAGGATTTCGTTGGAAATGGGATTACATATACAAAGGAGACAGCAGCATTCTGAGAAACTTCTTTGTGATGTCTGCATTCAATTCACAGAGTTGAGCATTCCCTTTCATAGAGCAGGTTTGAAACACTCTTTTTGTAGTATCTGGATGTGGACATTTGGATCGCTTTCAGGCCTATGGTGAAAAAGGAAATATCTTCCCATGAAAACTAGACAGAAGCATTCTCAGAAGTTTATTTGTGATGTGTGCCCTCAACTAACAGAGTTGAACCTTTCTTTTGATAGAGCAGTTTTGAAACACTCTTTTTGTAAAATCTGCAAGAGGATATTTGGATAGCTTTGAGGATTTCGTTGCAAACGGGAATGGCTTCATATAAACTCTAGACAGAAGCATTCTCAGAAACTTCGTTGGGATGTTTCGATTGAAGTCCCAGTGTTGAACATTCCCTTTTATAGAGCAGGTTGGAAACACTCTTTCTGCATTCCCTGGAAGTGGACATTTGGAGCGCTTTCAGGACGACGGTGAAAATGGAAATATCTTCCAAGAAAATCTAGATAGA